>NC_000005.10:179372019-179522465 GCF_000001405.40 Homo sapiens
GACTCAGGAGCCACTGAACCTGCAGCCTCCACCCAGGCTGGTATGGGCTGGGCAGGCCTCCTGGGCCAGAGACAGACCCCTGTGGGGGAGGCTGAGAATGGGATCCAGGTTAAAGACCCCACCCACCACCACAGGCCCCCAGGTCTGCTGCCCTCCTAGTTAATCCTCTTAGATCAGGGAAAACTGCAGGGAGCCTGTCTGCCATGTGAGCAGTTATGATTTGACAGGAGTCTGTAAGCAGATGCATGTGCAGGATCCTTCATGGAGATGCCAAGTAGTTGAACCAGGAAAGCATCATCCTCATTCACCTAGATCAGCTACAGAAGTGGGCACTGAACCCAGACCTGGGCAAGAGCCCAGTGTATCCGCTCCCTGTGTCATCAGCTTGTGTGGTCAGGGTGCCCAATTCCAGAGCCAGGGATCCTGGCGGGCTGTGAGAACTTCCTTGAGCCCCTTGCCAGTGTGGGGCTGCCAGCCCTGGGCCCCGGGGAAGGGGAGCAGGAGGCCGGAGCCCAGCTCCAGACTCCCGGAGACCGCACAGCTCCAGCCCTTCCCGAGGCTCTGGGCTCACGTATGTTCAGGTCCCCTATTTCAGTTTCCTTGGCCTTGTTTGCTCCGTTGCTAGTGCTCTTTACTCCCCGACTTTTAACTTTTCAGAAATCTTTGTAGCTCCTTTCCTGTTTTATCTCGCCCATTGATTGAGGAAGCTGTTGGCTCATTTCATCTGGCATATTTTTCTTGTTTTACATTTACGGTGTGTTGTTTTGTTTCCATCACATTGTATTTTGAAGAGTCTTCTCTTTCTATTTGGCCTTGTCTGTGGGTGGCAGCGTTTTTGGAGGAAGGGCCCAGGTTTTGGAGCTGGGCAGACCCTGACTCAGCTATAGCTCTGCCAGGCTGGTAATTTTTTGGCCTCTTACAGTCACTTTAAGTCTCTGAGCCTCAGTTTCCTCCTATTAAAAATAGGAATAGTCATACCTGTGGGAAGGTTCAGGCCTATTCGGTATTGTTCATTTAAAGCGCCTGGCACAGGGCCTGTCCATTATGGGGGCACCGTCATTGCTAGCACATGTCAACGCCGGCACCAGGAGCGTGGGCTTCTGCTGTGTCCCAAATTGTGAGACCAGTGGTCTTCTTTGTCTTCCCGTCCCACACCTGAACAGCTGTGAGGAGGGTCTCGACCACATGCCAGGAACCTCAGTGCTCCCCCTCGATAAGGGACAGAGCTGTCCACACCACCCCTCGCCCTCTTTGGGACGCTGCGCACTCTCGCAGTGGTAGGGCGGAGAGCTGTCAATCAAATGCAGTGCCTCACCTCCTGCGGCAGGATTGGACGTTCGGCCCAAGCCGGACCAATCAGCATCCTTCCCCAGTGCTTTCCGACTGGACCTAAGGCTTGAGGCACATTTCCTCTTGGAGGAGCGGCTCTGAAGCGAGGGTCTGCCACTGTCGGGAGCCTAGAGGGGAAGAAGCTGGCCTGGGCCAGGCCCCAGAAGTGGACGAGAGAGGGTCTGGACATGCTGCGCCTACTGCCGGGGCCCCTTGGACGCAGCAACAGTTTGGTTCTAAGAGCCCGTCAGCTGGTCTGAGCCAGCTTCTGACAGTTGCAGCCAAGAATCCTAATTCAAACGCCCACGGCTCTGCCAGGCCGCCAAGATGGGTTCCCATAACCTGAGCTCCCTCTCCAATTCAGACAGACTCTGGAGGGCTCCCCAGGGAACACATGATTGAGCCCACTTACCAAGCCGGCAGGCTTCTCTCTCCAGGAAGGCACCAAATTTTCATGGACCAGCTCACAAGCTGGAGCCTGGGGTGGCTCCACACCCCAAGCAGGCAGGCTCCTTCACACAGGAGGACACCCTGGCAAGGGGTGCCTGAGAGCAGGGCCCCACAGGCCTGGGTGAGTAGGACATCTAGGTGGCTCACGAGGACGCTGCATATTCTGAGTCTCAATCCCTAGGAAGGAGACCAGGGTGTGTTCTGGGAGCTGGGAACAGGGCAGGGCTGTGGGTGTTGGGGTACGAGGTCTGCACCCAGCCAATCAGCGTCGGGGTCCAGGGTGTGTGCCCTGTCCCACTGCAAGAGAGGGGCCGAGGCAGGGAGCCAGGACACAGGGTACAGAAGGCATGCAGTCAGATGGATGAGGCCAGCAGGGACAAAGGGAGACACACCAGGCCCAGGGCTGCGGCAGGCCCATCAAGGGACTCTCTGCCCCCTCAGAAGTGCCCTCACGCTGTTCGGCAGCCAGGCATAGGTGGAGAGTCATGGTCCAGTCAGGCGGCCCCGACTTCAGGTCAGAGGGCACGGAGGACGTCCGGGCAGAGGACTTGGAGGACGTCAGGGCAGAGGACTTGGAGGACGTCAGGGCAGAGAGCACAGAGTACGTCAGGGCAGAGAGCAAGGAGGACGTCAGGGCAGAGGACTCAGAGGGCGTTGGGGCAGAGGGCACAGAGGACGTCGGTGCAGAGGACTCAGAGGACGTCAGGGCAGAGGGCACGGAGGACGTTGGGGCAGAGGACTTGGAGGACGTCAGGGCAGAAGGCACAGAGGACGTCGGGACAGAGGGCACGGAGGACGTCGGGGCAGAGGACTCAGAGGACATCAGGGCAGAGAGCTCAGAGGACATCGGGGCAGAGAGCACAGAGGACGTCGGGGCAGAGGGCACGGAGGACGTCGGGGCAGAGGACTCAGAGGACATTGGGGCAGAGAGCACGCAGGACGTCAGGGCAGAGGACTCAGAGGACGTCGGGGCAGAGGGCACGGAGGACGTTGGGGCAGAGGGCACAGAGGACGTCGGGGCAGAGGACTCAGGATGTCAGGGCAGAGGGCACAGAGGATGCCAGGGCAGAGGGCACAGAGGATGTCAGGGCCCTCTCCTCTAATCATCTCAGGTGCTGTTCTCTATCACCTCATCAGGAGCAGGACCGACTGCCAAGGCCGCCGTGGTAGGGAAGTTTCTCCACAAGATTGTGCTTATACGTTTTGCGTTGCCATAAAAGAACGCCGGAGACTGGGCCGTTTATAAAGAAGAGAGGTTTATTTGGTCCACAGTTCTGCAGGCAGTACCGGAGGCATGGCAGCAGCATCTGCTTGGGGTCAGGGCCTCAGGAAGCTTACCCTCCTGGTGGGAGGGGAAGGGTAGCAGAGGTGTCCCACAGTGACAGATGGAGCAAGAGAGAGGAGCTACCTAGGCTCTTTCTAACAATCAGATCTCATGGGAATTCATTACCACAGGGAGGGCACCAGGCCATTCATGAGGGATTGGCCCATGTCACCCAAGCACCTCCCACCAGGTCCCACCTCCAGCATTGAGGGTCAGATTTCAGTATGAGATTTGGAGAGGACAAACATCCAAACTGTATCAACCACCCTACATGAACCAGTGCCTGCCTTTCTGACCTCCCCACTCACTCTGCTCCCCCTTCCCCACACTCCCCCTCCTTGTGCTTAAACAGGCCATGCAGTTCCCACCCAGATGGGAACGCAGAAGTGCTGAGAAGCCTCTGGCTGCTGAGAAGGACCGGAGACGCTCAGGCAGGGCTTCACTGAGGAGGGACATCTTCAGCTGGGAACAACTCTTCCACACAGCATCCATGGTGTTTGTCTACACTCCAGTTTCTCTACTGTCAAATAATGTCCTGGTCTGGCCAAGAGGGCACTGTCTTCTCATCAAGCTATGAGGGTCCCAAGGAAGAGGAGCCCAGCCAGGGAATGGGAGAAGGGGGAGGAGTCCAGCTGGGGGAGAGAAGAAAAGGGGGAGGAGCTCAGCGGGGGAGGGGAATGAGGTAGGAGTCCAGCCAGGAGAGGGGGAAAGGGGGAGGAGCTCAGCAGGGGAGGGGGGAAGGGGGAGGAGTCCATTCAGGGGAGGGGGAGAGGGAAGTGTCCAACTGGGGGAGGGGGGAAGGGGGAAGAGTCCAACTGGGGGAGGGGGAAGAGGGAGGACTCCAGCCCCTGGGGAGGAGGAGCCCAGCCAGGGGTGGTGGGGAAGGGGAAGGATCTCAGTGGGGGAGGGGGAAGGGGAGGAGTCCAGCCAGAGGAGGGGAAAAAGGGAGGAGTCCGGCTGGGGGAGGGGAAAGGGGGAGGAGCTCAGCCCAATGCCCCCTCCTGGGCTGTACTGCATGAGAGTGGCTACCAGCCAGACCAGCCATGTCTATACCACCAGGTCCCACCAGAATTGTGGACAGGCCGGGTGCAGTGGCTCACACCTGTAATCCCAGCCCTTTGTGGGGGTTGAGGTGGGTGGATCACCTGAGGTCAGGAGTTCAAGACCAGCCTGGCCAACATGGTGAAACCCCATCTCTACTAAAAATATAAAAAATTAGCCAGGCATGGCCAGGTGCAGTGGCTCACTCCTGTAATCCCAGCACTTTGGGAGGCCGAGGCGGGCAGATCACGAGGTCAGGAGATAGAGACCATCTTGGCTAACACGGGGAAACCCCGTCTGTAATAAAAACACAAAAAAAAATCAGTCGGGCGTGGTCGCAGGCACCTGTAGTCCCAGCTACTCGGGAGGCTGAGGCAGGAGAATGGCGTGAACCCAGGAGGTGGAGCTTGCAGTGAGCCAAGATCGCGCCACTGCACTCCAGCCTGGGTGACAGAGCGAGACTCTGTCTCAAAAAAAAAAAAAAAAAAATTAGCCGGGCGTGGTGGTGGATGCCTGTAATCCCAGCTACTTGGGAGGCTGAGGAAGGAGAATCGCTTGTGAACCTGGGAGACGGAGGTTGCTGTGAGCTGAGATCGCGCCATTGCACTCCAGCCTGGGCCACAGAGCAAGACTCTGTCTCAAAAAAAAAAAAGTGTGGGTGGCGATGGACCTGTGCCCCACTCTCCATCCACAAAGCAGTCCGGAGCACATGTCACCCCTATAAGGGAGCCACGGTGACCCTCAGGTGGAGGCAGGGGCAATGCTGCTCACAGAGGCAGCACCCACCAGGCCAGATCCAGAGACACTGGCAGGGAGACCTTCTAGAGCAGGCTCGTTGGAAGGAAGAACATCCCTGTCTTTATACACATTTAACCCAGAGCCGCCCACTCCTCCCCAGGCACCATCTAGATCCACAAGCAGTGAGGCAGGTTTTAAAGCCATCTTCTCACTCCTGTCTCAGGACCAGGAAAATGTCTCCTGCCATTTACATAACTGAGAGAGAAGCCCCTCAGGGAGCAAGGGAGATGTGCCTAGAGGAGGCTGCTGCGCCCGAAACAGCCGGCAGAGTCAGAGGAGCACAGACACATTCAGTCCCCGCAGGGCACCGCTCTGGTGGGGCACCTGTGCCAAGGCAGGCAGGTGTGAAAGCACGTGACCTGGTGGGGAGAGGGCCAGTGTTGGATGCCCGGGGTGTGTAGCTGTGTAGGGGCTGCGAATGCGGCTGGAAAAATGGGGGCGCAGAACTCAGCCAGCCTAAGGGTTTAGCTGTCACCCTGGGAGGATTTTTGTCAGGAATTCAAGACAAGGATCGAATGTCCTAAATTTGACCACAAGTCTTCCTTGTTCCAGGAAAGAATGCACCAAACCCTGCATGATTGTTTATTCACATCCACTTAGCAGGCTGGTGAGCAGCGTGCGGAGGAGGCGGCAGAACCAGAACCTGGACGCAGGAGAAGGACGGGGGGCACGAGATGGGCACAGGACGCCTCCCAATCAAGGCTGCTCTGTGGGTTTCAGAAACGGGACACCCATCCCTTCAGGCATCCATAGCGTGTGAACTGTAGGACTACAGGGTGCAGGTCACCCCAGAGCTCAGCATCCAAACCAGTGGGGCACAGCTTCGGCCTCCCACCTGCCCAGGCTCACCAGAGACACTGGCTGTGGGCAGAGATGACCTGGAGCCAGGAGCCAGGAGCTGTGGCGCAGCGGGTAGAGGCCGGGCCCACCGCCATGCCATCGTGGTGAGGCTGTTGCCAGACCCCAGCTGGAAACAAAGATCCTCCAGGCCCAGCCATGGAGGAGGAAAGAGGTATTAAAGGATGGGGGGTGGTGGTGAAAATGTGCAGAGGCCCCAAAGCCTCCTTTCCAGCCAGTGATGCCAGGAAGCACCAGGGGCAGCAGCAGACAGGCCATGGTGTCCTCTGAGACTGGGTGAGGCTCTATGGCCCGAGTGCCTGACGCAGAGCCAGGCACACAGGGCCACCTCCAGTGGATGTGCTTTACTCCACCTGCTCTCAGAACCTGGAGCCTGCATTTCCCTATTCGTTGGACGGTGTGACAACCCCCAGCTCCATAGCTCAGTAGTGCAGGTCAGTGTGGTAAGGGGGATTCAGTGCCCAGCCCAGTGCCTGGCGCCCGGGGCTGCTCACCACAGCCTGGGGATGCATGCTTCCAGGTGCCACCATTGTCCTCATGGCTGGCACCCTCAGTACCCACCCCAACTCCTATCCCTGCACCCAGCACCCTGGTGCTCTCTCCAAAGCCTGGAATTGATCTCTTTATGTCCTTGCTGAAAACCTGCCCATGGCTCCCCACATCCCGCACTGTCAAGGGCAACTTTCTTAGCCTGACATACAAGGCCTGTTACTCACCCTGGCCAGGCTTCCTGGACACGCCATCAACCACAGCTCCACAAGCCCTCCTGTTCTCCAAGCACAGAAGCTTCACGCCCTGGTCTTCCCAACCTCTGTGTCACTGGCTGGGCTGGGGCCTTCATGCACCCCTCAGGGAGACAGCAGAGTAGTGAGAGCTTGGGCTTCAGACATGGATTCACATCCACCAACTCCTGACAGTCTCGGGCAGAGCAGCTGCCTGCCTGCTTCTCAGATCCCTGCTATAGAAAGCAAGGCCGTGATGACAGCGTAAAAGCATGCGTCGGCCACACACAGGCTTCCCACCACTGCCTCTGCCCTCCACACCACTGTTCCCTTTCCCCTAGTTCCCCCAACTGAACAATTTCCGGCTGGTTTCAATGCTGAGCTCTGGGATGACCTTCACCCTACAGTCCTACAGTTCACACACTATGGATGCTTGAAGGGACGGGTGTTCCCATTTCTGAAACCCACAGAGCAGCTTTGATTGGGGAGCATCCGGTGTCCATCTCGTGCCCCCCGCCCCCGTCCTTGTCCTGCATCCTGGTTCTTGTTCTGCTGCCCCCTCTGCATGCTGCCACTGCCTCCTAAGTGGATGTGCATATTTTCCCAAACAATCATGCAGGGTCTGGTGCATTCTTTCCCAGAACAAGGAACACTCGTGGTCAAATTCAGGACATTCAATCCTTGTCCTAGATTCCTGACATAGACTAGGACTTAAGACAGTTATCGCATTGCATGTCACTGGTCCCAGGGATTTCTCAAGCAACTTTAGTGGGTCTAATCAGAGTGAGCCTCGGAGTTCCTGGGATGGAAAGTCCCTCTCTCCCGTGGGTGCCTTGGGAACACAAAACACTCTTCTCCAGGAGGCAGCTGGGTGAAGGTGGATGGCTGCAATGGCGCAGTTACTTGCCTCTGTGGTGGGCACCAGGCTAAGGATGAATCCAGTAGCAGAACCAAGAGAATCCCAGAGGAGGACTGCAGCTGGTTCTTGGTGACATCATTTGAATGGCTGGATCAAGCCTCACCTGCAGCCAGCAAGATGACCTCTGGACTTGTCAGGAACAGGAGCCCATCAATTCCCTTTAGAGGTGAAGCCAGTTTACGTGGATTTCTGTTGCTTACAATGCAGATGCATAGTGGACGCTGCTGCCTCACCTCGGCTTGAGCATGGCACACGTGCAGTCAGTGGCACCTATTCCAGGAAGCTCGCCTTGCGGTCATAAGGCAGATGTCTTCTTTGCCCACCCCTGTCCCATCTGCATCCTTGAATTCTCAAGAAAGAGACTATTTTCAGGCACCCTTGCATACTCAGAACCTTGGTGTTGTATGCCCAACACACACCAATGCCCAAACGCACACCAATGCCCAGCACACACCAATGCCCAACGCACACCAATGCCCAACACACACCAATGCTCAAACACATAAGCTGAGTGAATGGTCACTCCAGGATGCAAGCAATGTGAAATTGAAAAGTAGGTGAGCACGTCAAAGTTCAGCCTGCATGCCAATTCCTACTGAGCCCCTCAGCATCCAGGAGAATATCAAGGTGTACAAGAGGATTCTGAAGAAAAGAGTTTAGGGTGCATTTATTTGGAGAGAGCCTTTGCTATGCTGTGCATGCTCCCCTTCCAAGGAGGAAGCGTGAGGTGCGACCTCCCTCACCTCTAGCCTCCTGAGAGCGCTTCCATGGTGTCACTCAGAGGCCCTGTACACTGAGGGCTGGGGTCTGCTGATCACATGGGAGCCAGTGTCAGCCGAGTCGTCGCCGTGGGAGCAGACTGTGAATCAACTGCGGCACTGTGCGCGGCCTGCCTGCCTCCCGGAGTCCCGTGGGGCTGAGGATGTAGGATGCTCCTGGGGCCCTCAGCCTAAGCAGATATGAGGACTCCACGAGGGGGCTGCATGCAATGAACTTGCAGAAGAAAACTGAGGCTGAGGACACCAGAGGGGCCTGAAGAAGAGGAAACACATCAGCCCCATCACGGCATCTGCAGGTGAAAAACTCCAGCAGGAAACCTTCGAGGAACCATGGAGCGGCCCCTTGAGAGAGGCAGCTTCCCATACCCGCCAGGCCGACAGGAAGCCGGCCCACCTGGTGGCAAGGTGGGGCTCCAGATGGAGAAACAGTAAGGCGGCCCCACCATGAGGGGACATGCAGGCACATTTGGAGTGTAGGCCGTTCTCATGAGCTGGACGTCCTTATTTCTGAATGGTGTCTGTGAGAACCTCTTGCTTGAGCATGAGCTGAAAGGTGCTGAGACCAGGCCAGTTTTCACATGGGGAGGGCAACACCTTCTCCAACCAAATGCATTTAAGGGGCCGGTGGGAGAAAAGCCGTTGTGTTTCGATTCATTGCGGGGGGGCGTTTGCTCACCCGTCCAGATGAACATGCATTTGGCTCCCACCCGCTGTACGTGAATGTGCCTGTCCCTCATACTTCTGCCAATGTGGCATTTTACAACATGCATCTTTTTTTTTTTTTGATAACTTAATAACTGTGCAAGGTGATAACGCCTTATTGGTTGCCATATCTTTAAGGACTTACAAACTGAAACACTTCTTTAGACACTGGTTTTTGGTGTGTTTCCTTTTTTTATTTTTATTTTTATTTATTTATTTATTTTTGAGATGGAGTCCTGGTCTGTTACCCAGGCTGGAGTGCAGTGGCACAATCTCCGCTCACTGCAACCTCCGCCTCCCAGGCTCAAGCGATTCTCCAGCCTCAGCCTCCCAAGTAGCTGGGATTACAGGTGCACACCACCACGCCCAGCCAACTTTTTGTAGTTTTAGTAGAGACAGGGTTTCTCCATGTTGGCCAGGCTGGTCTCGAACTCCTGGCCTGAAGTGATCCACCTGCCTTGGCTTCCCAAAGTGCTGGGATTACAGGAGTAAGCCACTGCACCTGGCTTGGTTTGTTTCCTTTTAAACAACCTCTGTTTTCACTTGCTTTGAACACTTTATTCGGGAGAATTCGAGTCCTAACAAGCCCTCACACTGATATTAGTTCTCCCCATCATCTTTATGGAGCTTGTTATTTCCCATCTGTGGCTGCTTTTCTCTTGATTATGTCCCATTCCTTTATGTGGCTCTTACCCGGGCCCCTGCCACATGGCTGGGCCAAGGCACAGGCTCTGAGACTGCTGGCCTGGGCTCAAGACCAGTTCACATGCTGCTCCAGGATTTCAGGCCAGGTCCTTACCTCCCTCACCAAGGGCCAAGAGCCTCATCTGTTAAGTGGAAATAGTAGGCGATGGCCATGAGCAATAGCAAGAACAGCCTTCACAAGGCTCACTGCTCCACATGGCTGAGTGCTCCACGCGGCTCAGTGCTCCACGCGGCTCAGTGCTGCACGAGACTCACTGCTCCACGTGGCTGAGTGCTCCACGAGACTCACTGCTCCACATGGCTGAGTGCTCCACGCGACTCACTGCTCCACGCGGCTCACTGCTCCACGCGACTCACTGCTCCACGCGTAGCTTCTGACACTGCCGAGCATTTTCAACAGCTGTGTCTCGGCCTCACAACTGTGGCCTATGGTTCTCTTTCTTCCAGAGTTGAGATGACATGCAACTACTTTTCCTTGTAATTTTTAAAATTACCTTTTAAATCATCAGGAATTCATCGTGATGTCTGGGATATGATATGGATTAAAATTTCTTTTTCTCTAGATTAAAATCCAGTTTTCCCATCTACATTTATTTAATGGCTTCCCCATATAGAAAGAAATGACCTTGTAAATTCAGTTGCAAATCTGGAACTTGCTTGATGATTCATGGATTTCTTTGGACCTCTGCTGCAGAGATTTGTGCTGAAACCATACTCCTCGGATCACAGCTTTTGTTAACACAGATGTGTGTTCACAGACACCTCTGACTTCTTTTTTTCTACTTAATTTTTCCCGTCTTCTCATATCATCCCTCCCATGACCTCTAAAGGTGCTTACTCTAAGTCTGGTCTCCTTAAAGACGCATGCTTCCCTGTGAAGTACTCGGAGCACCACTGCGTGCGTGTTGTTGACTTGCACAAACAATGTCGTGCTCTGACTCTCTTCCATTTCACTTTTCTGTTGTATCGTTGCTTTTGAGCTCTGTCTGTAGAACTATAGAACAGCAGATTCAGTGTTTCCTCCCCTGTGTATTTCATAGTACACCGCAGCTTGCATCCACCTTGAACCTGGCAGTGAACCCAGAGTCCATCTCCAGCCCTGCCCTCAGAATCAATGCCACACATACAAAGCATAGCTCTGCACACTCCCTCAGGCATCCTGTGATCACCTCTCTAGCATTGCTGGGTCAGAGGGCGCATGCACACTCAGTCTTGCTAAATGGTGCCCAATTGCCCAGAGGAACGTTCCCGTCAGTTGTGCCTGATGTTCTGGCACACATCCACGTTACTATTTGGAACCACCCACCTTCTCAACATCACCACCCTGCTGGATGGACAGTGGCATCTCACTGTTGCTTTAATTTGCATTTCTTTGCCCACGGATGTGTTTGAGTCTCTTCGAACACTTGCTAGCCATTTGGGCATCCATTTCTGAAAACCACCTCATCCTCTCCTTTCTCATTTCTCTACTGAGTTGCCCGTCTCTTGGTATTGATCAGCAGGAGCTCTTTCTATATTCTAATAGTAATCCCTTAGCATTTGTAGGCGTCACAAGCATCTCCTCCCAGTCTGCCTTCTGTTGGCGTGGGGCTGTGGTGTTCTTTTTTTTTTTTTTTTGAGATGGAGTCTCACTCTGTCGCCCAGGCTGGAGTGCAGCGTGCGATCTCAGGTCACTGCAAGCTCCGCCTCCCGGGTTCACGCCATTCTCCTGCCTCAGCCTCCCGAGTAGCTGGGACTACAGGCGCCCACCACCACGCCCGGATTAATTTTTTGTATTTTTACTAGAGACAGGGTTTCCCCATGTTAGCCAGGACGGTCTCGATCTCCCGACCTCATGATCCGCCCGCCTCAGCCTCCCAAAGTGCTGGAATTACAGGCGTGAGCCACCGCGCCCGGCCGGGCTGTGGTGTTCTTTACTAAACAGATAGCCTTGATTTTGATTTAGCCAAATCCATTCTTTTTTCAGCCCAGGTTTGCATGTGGGGAGTTTTGCTTAAGAAAACTTTCCCCCGCTATAGGTCACAAAGATGTTATCCTGAGTATTCACTGATCAGCTCTGAAGCTTTCCCTTCCATCCGTAGGCCTTTAATCCAGCTGGGGACCACCTGGAATACTGGGGTGAAGTGGAAGTCCGGCTTCAAAGGGAGCCAGTTTTCCCAGCTTCATTCACTAAACAACCAGCCTTGCCCTTTCCCTTTGTGCTGCCACCTTTATCGAGTTCCTGTCTACCCCAGGTCTGTTTTGATCTCTCTGTTCCATGGTCCTGACGCCTGGCCTATGCTGTTCCCAGGACCACGGCCTCTGCAACACACAATGGCGCCTGCTCAGGAGTTGCCCTGCCCCTTCTCTGCTCTGTGGTTCAAAATTGACTTAGTTTTTTGTGTTAGGCCATTTGAGCTGCTATTTAAAAAGTACCATAAACAGGTTAGCTAATAAACAACAGAAATTTTTCTTTTTTTCTTTCTTTTTTTTTTTTTGAGACAGTCTCACTCTGTGGCCCAGGCTGGAGTGCAGTGGCACGATCTTTGCTCACTGCAATCTTGGCGTCCTGGGCTCAAGCGATTCTCCCACCTCAACCTCTTAAGTAGCTGGGACTACAAGCACGTCCCATCATGCCTGGCTAATTTTTTAATTTTTTAATTTTTTTTTTTTTTTTGTAGAGACACGGTTTCGCCATGTTGCCCAGGCTAGTATCCAACCCCTGGGCTCGAGTGATCCGCCTGCCTTGGCCTTCCAAAGTTCTGGGATTGCAGATATAAGCAACTGTGCCTAGCCTACAGCAAAAAATTGTTGCTCATAGTTCTGGAGGCTGGCAAGTCCGAGATCAAGGTGCTGGCAGTTTCTTTTTATTTTATTTTATTTTACTTTTTTTTTTTTTTTCAGAGTCTTGCTTTGTCACCCAGGCTGGAGTGCAGTGGCGCGATTTCGGCTCACTGCAAGCTCTGCCTCCCAGGTTCATGCAATTCTCCTGCCTCAGCCTCCCAAGTAGCTGGGATTACAAGCATGTGCCATCACACCTGGCTAATTTTTGTATTTTTAGTAGAGATGGGGTTTTACCATGTTGGCAGGCTGGTCTCGAACTCCAGATCTCAGGTGATCTGCTCGCCTCAGCCTCCCAAAGTGCTGGGATTACAGGAGTGAGTCACTGCGCCTGGCCAAGGTGCCGGCAGTTTCAGTGTCTGGTGAGGCCACGTCCTCATAGCCCTCCTCACTGTGTCCCCACGTGGTGGAGGAGGCAAGGCAGCTCTCTGGGCCTCTTGTATAAGGGCACTCGTCCCATTCGGGAGGGCAGCACCCTCATGACCTCATCACCTCCCAAATACCTCTCCTTTCCCATTTTTCTACTGGGTTAGTTTCTACTAGCCCCACTTCCTAATCCCATCACAGCGGGGACTAGGTGGTAGCATGTGAATTCTGGGGGAACACAAACATTCAGATTATAGCATTTGTCTTACACCTTGATCCTTCCACATAAATTCACAGTGAGTTTATTCATCTCCTCGACAATTCCAGCTGGAATTTTGATCAGGATTACATTTAATGCATAGGTGAATCTGGTACTGTTGGGAACCTGTAACATTAAAGTATCTCTTCGTTTAATAATGACTCAAGCTGTGTTCTTTTTTTTTTTTTTTTTTGAGACTGAGTCTCGTTCTGTTGCCCTGGCTGGAGTGCAGTGGCACGATCTCGGCTCACTGCAAGCTCCGCCTCTCGGGTTCCAGCCATTCTCCTGCCTCAGCCTCCCGAGTAGCCGGGACTATAGGCACCTGCCACCACGCCCGGCTAATTTTTTGTATTTTTAGTAGAGACGGGGTTTCACTGTGTTAGCCAGGATGGTCTCAATCTCCTGACCTCGTGATCTGCCCGCCTCGGCCTCCCAAAGTGTTTGAATTACAGGCGTGAGCCACCGCGCCCGGCCTACGACTCCAGCTATGTTCTCTACTGGAATGTTCAATTTTTGTAGAAAAACCACGTGCGTTCTTTGTTATGTGGATTCCAGGGTGCGTTTTAGGTTTTCGAGCATTGCAAATGGTGACCTTTTTTTCAATGTATTGGTCACTTTTCATTAATAACTTGTTCCTATGAAGCACTTCACAGTATTTTTGAAATATTAACATTTTTGTGGTACATTTGCCATATATGTTTCTTTACTCCATTTTTCAGTAAAGATAATTTATTTGGCTGCCAGTGTCTCATCATCGATAAGACCAGTGGAGGGTTTAGACCAGCTGTTTGTGGATTGTTTGAAGAGAGCTGTGTAAATCTGTAGTCCAGGGGAAATTCTCCTGTTACTTCAAAACTTGAAAGAGCAATAGTATGGTAAGTACTGATTCTCTTACAAGACTATGAAGCCAGATGTCTGTACTTTCCAGTGCCCAAATTGAATGAATAATAGAGAGAACAGCCTAATACAGCAAGGGCGGGGCTGGGCGTGGTGAAGCTCCTGCTTCTCCTCCCGGGCATGCTGCCTCCCAGCACTCTCTGCGTTCACCGTCCAGAAAACACCATGACTTAGTTTTAGTTGGCTGTGTCACGGGTGTAAAGAGAAGCTGGTGGGCCGGTGAGTTGGCCACATATCCAGCAGCCTTGCCTAAGCTCCCTGCTAGTTCTGTTATCTTGCCTGCTGATTCCATGGGTTTATGTGATGTTATCATCTGCAAGGAATGAGGCCCTATCTTTTCCCTTCTGATCCTGACGGGTCTTCTGCCACTTTCATCCCTCAGAGCCTTAGTCCACCCCCTTAGTAGTGGGGCCCATGTGGGCTCACAGTGAGAAGATTCATCTTCGCCAGGATTCTTGGTGCAGTCGGCTTTTGGGGTGTAGCAATTATGAAGTTAAGAAACTTTCTGTCTACTCTTAGTTTCCTGAGAGTTTTTAAAAGTCATATATAAGCACCAAACTGTGGTTTTCTCAATCTATGAAGATACTTGATATCAGCATTCTTAAAAATATATTTTAAAATTGGCCAGGCACAGTGCCTCATGCGTGTAATCCCAGCACTTTGGGAGGCCGAGGCGGGCAGATCACCTCAGGTCAGGAGTTCAAGACCAGCCTGGCCAACATGGTGAAACCCCATCTCTACTAAAAATACAAAAATTAGCCAGGCATGATAGCAGGCGCCTGTAATCCCAGCTACTTGGGAGGCTGAGGCAGGGAGGATTGCTTGAACTCAGGAGGTGGAGGTTGCAGTAAGCTGAGATATATGTATTTAAATTTCCAAGAGTGCACTTTTTTTTCAGTAATAGCTAAAAAAAAATCTAAGGGAACCAACTGTAGACACTGTAAGGTAACCAGTCAGGTAAGGATGGTAATGAACCAGCCTGGGCCACCAGCTCCACCCTCAGCCTAGCTGGGGACCCAGTGCAGGAGTGGAGAAGACTTTGGGTGTGGAGAATTAAAATGAGACTGCAGGAAGAGAGGGCATTTCTGCCTGATGCAGAGGGGAGGTGGCTGCTAGGGTGGAGAGGGCCTGTTGGTTGTGGCCAAGGGGGCAGAGTCCAGTGAGCCCCATGGCCTCAGGTGAGCCATTGCCTCTCCCCCAGCCCCACACTGTTACAGGACCTAGAACAGCAACCTCAGTGTGTCCTGCAGGTGGGAGAGTGGGATCAGGTCCTCTAGAGTGAAACCCAGGTAAGAGCTGGCGCAGGGAGAATTGTGAGCTGGCCCCGGAGCTTCCCTTCCCTCCCCACACAGCCCCTGCCCTCACTGAGCACTGGCCAGCTATAGACAAAGGGGAAAGCTCTTGGAAGACAGCAGTCCCCAGGCTGCTGGATCTAGAAGGTCTGTGAGGGGCAGGGCCACTTGGTTGGAGGCAGCTCAGAGTGGCCATCAAGCCTAGACTGTGGGGCTCACTTTGGGCTCTTTGCCCTGGGGCACGCCCTCTTCCCAAATCCACCGGAAACATCCCGAGCTGCTGAAACTAGTCCCCCCGACACAGTGCTCAGCCTCAGACAAGGTAACTGATCCCCCAGGAGACACTGCTGACGACCACCCACAGGTAAACACAGGTGTCTAAACCTTTGGAAACAGATTGCCTCAGCAGGGAATGTGCTTTCCAGCGGCCACAGACCCCGCCACTCCCTTTTGTTCAGCATCTAACCTGATTGATTCGTGTTTCACTCCTGGCCCCTCTGGGGATTTGAATTTGCAAGTCCCCAGAGGCCCAGTTTCAGGTTCCTCCTGCCTTTACTGATCTAATAATGGTGACAGTGTGATTTTGTGCACAGCATCTGCCCCGGGACAAGCCGCATGATCTCCGTTTAGGGTAGAGCTACTCCTTCTTCTCCAGAGCACCATACAGGGCGGGGTGGGAATGGAACCAGATGATGACCCTGACACGTGTGAAGCACCGTCTCGCGCCACTTTGAGTTTTCTTCCAGTCGCTTGCTACCAAAGGATGTCCTGCCAGAGCCCTCAGGAAAATGAATAGCTTCTGATGGAGCTCAGACAACCACATCAGAGCAAACCCCTCGACGAGTCTGTTTATTTAATTGCCTGGTGATGGCCGTGTGGTTAACCCCAGCCTGGTGAATCTGTGAGAGATGCACTGGCTTCAATCAAATAGTCTCCAAAATGTATTTAGGGACAAGACAGATGACACCAGGATGTTATCCTTCCCAGGATTTCATGTGCTCCCAAGGCCTGGGGAGAAGGGGTCACCAACTCAAATGTGGGTGACAGAAGCAAGTGAGGTTAGAGGTGGGACACGTGTGAGGAAAATAACATTGCCCACTCAACATATCTATTGTCCACTCAACATATCTATTGCCCACTCAACATATCTTTGCATTATTCTAACAGACATGGGTAGAGAGACTTGGTCAGGTAGAAATGAGAATAGCAGCATAAGTGTGAAGGTGAATGCAGCCGTCAGGCCAGACGCATGCTGCCACGGGGTGGGCAATCCCATGGGACAGCCAGGATTTTTTGAGAGCGGCAGAGAGGCTAACTTTTAAACGAAATCTTCCTTTTTAAAAAAAGTTGGCTTGGCCGGGTGGGGTGGCTCACACCTGTAATCCCAGCACTTTGGGAGGCTGAGGCAGGCGGATCACAAGGTCAGGAGATCGAGACCATCCTAGCCAACATGGTGAAACCCCATCTCTACTAAAAATACAAAAATAAATTAGCCGGGCATGGTGGCAAGCACCTGTAGTCCCAGCTACTCGGTAGGCTGAGGCAGGAGAATGACGTGAACCCGGGAGGCGGAGCTTGCAGTGAGCAAAGATCGAGCCACTACAGTCCAGCCTGTGTGACAGAGAGAGACTCCATCTCAAAAAAAAAAAAAAAAAGTTGGTTCTTTTAAAATGCGCGCGCGCACACACACACACATACACACACACACACGATGTTGGGGATTTCTCTCTCCAGCCATGATGGTGTGATTGGCACCACCCTTGTCCTTCTGCCTTCAATGGCTTTAAAAATGGGCAAAGTACTTAAAGCTAATGTTATCAGGCACTGGACAAGAGCCAGCCCCTGAAAGAAGGAAGCACATTTGGGTAGCCCATGCACACCCAAACTCCCAGCCTAGAACAGTCTCACCTGACCACAGCAAGGAGGCCGAGCCCAGCAGGCCCAGCAGAGAGAATGCAGGTACTGAGTTGAGGCAGAGGTTAGAGTTCTGGGCTGATGAAGCACCTGAAACTTAAAGAGGTGGATGACACAGAGGAGGGAATTATGTAGAGAGAGATTGCAGATTTCTGGCTGAGAGCTGGATGGCTCATGCGCAGGGGAAGACTGACAGACCCAGCAGAGAGCAGATGATGCACAGCTGGAGGCAGAACTGAGATACCAAAGTTCATGCCCTGCTAGGAGACATGGGGGTTCTGGCCCAACTGGAATGAAGAGCAATCTTTAAGACATTCGGCCAAGCCGCTATATAACCCACATTTTATGAATAAGGCCCACATCCTAGAGAAGTCATTCTCGATTTGGGGGTGGGCTGCTTTTTCCCCTTGTGACCATGTCTGGAGACATTTTTGACTGTCATCAGGGGAGGTGCTACTGCCTGCCATCTTGTGGGTAGGGACCAGACATACGGCTAACCATCCCACATTGCACAAGACAGCCCCCCCACCACAAAGAATTTTCCAGCCCAAAATGTCAATAGTGTTGAGGTTAAGAAATCTCATCCTAGAGTAAGTGCTACCCCAAACCCCTGTGGGAACTGGTAGCCAGCCTTCCAGATGAACCCTAATAATGCTCACCTCCTTTTGTTCATACCCTTGTATAGTCCTCCCTACCATGGAGAGGTCCAAGTGGGAGGAGCAGAGGCTTCTAGCCAGCAGTCAGCAATGAGCAGAGGCCTGCCAACAAGCATATGAGTAGGTCTGCAAGCACACTCTGCAGCCATAATTGAGCCTTAGATGACTGCACCCTCCAAACGACAGCTGGATGGCAACGTCCTTAGAGACTCTGAGCAAGAACCATTGAGCTAAGTCACGCTCAGATTCCTGATCTTTGGAAATGATGTAACAACAAATGCTTTTGTTTTAAGGTGTTATTTTGTGGGGTAATTTGTTACACAGCAATAGATAACTAACACAACCCGGCCCTAGCAAAGCCTAAAACTAAGCCTTGATACGATCAGGGAGAGCCACCAGTAAATTAACTGTCTGCCAGAACAAAACTCAAAACTCTTTAAAGGAAGAAAACATAATCCAGATTCCTTCAAGTGTATGATCTACAATGACCAGCATATAGTAAAAAATTACCAGACACAAAAATAAGCAAGTAATATGGCACAATTTTTTAAAATAAAAAAAGCACTTGATAGAAAAGATCCTCAGATGACCAAGATGTTGGAATCAGCAGACAAGGATTTTAAAAGCTATATTAAAAATATGTTTAAGAACTTAAAGGAAAACATGATCTTTATGAGTGAACAGATGTGAAATTTCAGCAGAGAAATAGACGTTCTGTTAAGGAAACAAGTGAAAATTCTATAACTGAAAACAAAATATCAGAAATCAAAATTTTACTTGCTTGAAAGCAAATTTAGGATGGCAGAAGAAAGTCAATAAACTAGACAGATTTATAAAAATTTCCACTCTGAAGAAAAGAGACCAAACAATAATTGTTAAATCATGAACAGAATCTCAATGACCTGTGTGACAATGTTAAGCAGTCTAACATGAATGTAATTCAAGTCTCACAAGAAAGCAAAGAGAGAGAATGGAAAGGAAAAATATTTTGAAGAAATAATGATTTAAAATTTTCCAAATGTGGTAAAAACAAATGACAACAACAAAAAGCATCAACTTGCCAATCCAAGAAACTAAATGAACCCCCAAGCAGATAAATACAATGAAAACCACAAATAAGTACATTATAGTCGAACTGCTGAAAACCAAAAATAAAGAGAAAATTTTGAAAGCAGGCAGAGCAAAATGGCAAAATAAATGCAGGGGAACAATGACACAAATGACAGCTGTCTTTTCATTAGAAACAATCAACCAACCACAGAATGACATGGATGAAGAAAGAAAAGAACTATAATCCAAGACTGTTATGTCCATCAAAATGTTCTTCAAAAGTGAGGATGAAATGAAGAGATTTTAGATTATTAAACATTGAAAGAATTAAAAGCCAGCAGACTTTCACCACCAGAAACTCTAAATAGAGTTCTTAAGCTGAAGAGAAATGACACCAGAGGAAACAGATTTACAGGAAGAAATGGCAGTGCTAAAAAAAAAAGTAAACATGTAAATTTAAAACACTAGCTTTTTCCTTAATTACCTTAAAAGACAAATGTCCGTTTAAAGCAAATGTAATAACATTATAAGGTGGGGTTTATTATATATATATATATATATAAAATTAAAATTATGACAATAGTACAAAGGATGGGGAAGAAAATGAAGTTGTACTCTTATTAGTTTCTTAGATTTATGAAGTGTGAATAGTAATGTGTGAAATGAAACAGTATTAATTATAAGTAGACTGTGATAAGGACACGTATTGTAATCTCTAAACTACTAAAATACAAAAATAAAAAATAGTAGCTAAAATGCCAATGACAGAGATTTTCCAAAAGAATACAACAAGATATTCAGTTATTCCCAAAAAAAGGTTATAAAAGAGGAAGAGGAGTACAAAGCACATAGGGCAAATATAAAACAAGTAGCAGATATTAGACTTAAAAACAGCTACACCAATAATTTAGTATAAATGAGCTAAATACTAATAAAAAGTCAGTGATTGTCAGAATAGATTTTTTAAAGCAATGCCTGACTATATGAGTATAAAATATAAAGACACAGATAGGTTGAAAGTAAACAGATGGAAAAAGATATAGCATGAAAATGGTTAAAATAAGAAACATGGTGTGGTTATATTATAAGAAGGCAAAGTAGGCACCAAGACAAAATGCATTTCTTCAAATAAAGATGGACACTTCACAATGACAAAATGGTTAATTCAACAGAAAGTTATAAAAATCCTAACTTTGCACCTAATAATTGTCTAAAAATTCATAAAGCAAAAGTTGATTAAAAGACAGAGAAAAATAGACAATTCCCCAATCATAGCTGGAGATTTTAACACCTCTATCTCAGTAATTATAGAACAAAGAGACAAAAAGTCAGTAAGGATATAAAAGATTGGAACAACACTATCAACAAACGATCTAATTGACATTTTCAGAATATCTTACTATACAACTTCAAAAATACACATTTTTTTCAAGTGCAGATGGAATGTTCACCAAAATTAACCATATTCTGCACCATAAAATGTCTCAATAAATTTCAAAACATCAAAATCTTACAAAGTGTGTCTTGGTGACAACAAAATTAAGTTACAAATCAATAACAATAATGTATCTAGAAAATTCCTCCAAAGTTTTGGAAAATAAACAATATACTTCTAAATAATTTATATGGCAAGAAATCAGCAGAGAAATTAGAAAAAATTTTAACTGAATGATAATGAAAACCAAAAAAATCAAATTTTATGGGATACAGTTAAATCAGTTTCTAGAAAGAAACATATAACTCTAAATGTTCATAATAGGGAAAAAGTAAAAATTAACAATTAATGGTTTAAGTGTACATGTTAGCAATCTAAAAAGAAAGAACATATTAAACCCACAGTAAATAGAAGGAAAGAAATAATAAGGAGCCCAAATCAATGAAATATAAAACAAACCAATAAGAGATAAAAATAACAAAGCCAAAAGATACCTCTTTGAAAAATTAATCAAATTGAAAAATCCCAGTAAGACTGATCAAGAAAAAGAACACAAATTACAAAATAACTTTCTGTATGACAAAAACTCTTTGTATTTATGTTGTACAACATGATGTTTTGATATATGTATACTCAAAATATCTGAAATGGAAGATAAGCTATCACTACAGATCCTACAGATACCAAAAGAAAAACTACTAAATATTATAAACAACTTTATGGCAATAAACTCAACAATTTAGATGAAATGGACGAATTCCCTGAAAAACACAACTTACCAAAAGTGACTCAAGAAAAAATAGAAAAAACGAATAGCCCTACTTTTCAGTATCCTATTGCTTCATAACCAGTCCCAAAGCTTAGTAACTTAACAATTATTTTGTTGTTGCTAAGTTAACTGACCTCAGCTGGGTGGTTCTTTTTTAAATGGTGTTGTCTGGGATGACTCACTCTGTTGCTTTCAACTGGCAGCTGGGCCAAACTGGAAAGTCCAAGAAGGCATTAGTCACATGTCTGGTACCTCAGTGCTCCTCCACATGATCTCCCCATGGGAGCTTCCTCATAGCATGGTGGTCTCAGAGTCATCAGACTTTCTACATCGTGGCTGGCTTCGAGAGAGAAAGCTAAAATTCTGAAATTGATATGCAAATGCACAGGACCTAAAATAGCAAAACAAACTTGAAAAAGAATAACAAAGTTGGAAGACTCCCAGTATCTAATTTTCAAGACTCACTATAGTAATCCAAATTAGAATCATTGTAGCAAAAAGATAGACACATAGATCAACAGGAAAAAATAGAGTCCAGAAATAGACCCAAACATAGACCCTTAATTGATTTTCAACAAAAGTGCTAAGGCAATTTAACGGGGAAAATGCATTCTTTCTCTATTGCTGCATAACACATTAGCACAAATTTATCAGAATAAAACAACACTGATTTATTATTTCACATATAATTATATATTTCACATTTTTCTATATGTCAGAAGTCTTTGCATTGTGTAAGTGAGTTCTCGGCTTAGGGTCTCAAAAGGCTAAAACCAAGCTGTCAGCCTGCATGTGCTCTCATATGGAACTTGGATTCCTCTTCCAAGCAAGCTCCTTTTGGTCATAGGATTGAAGCCCTCAGTTCCTGGAGACCGCTCCCTGTTCCCTGCCATGTGACCTTCTCCACGACAAGCTCTCACGCTTTGAATTTCTTTGACTTCTTTTAAGGTCAGGCCAAGAAAGGATAATCTTACTTCTGATTAACCCAAAGTCAACTGATAAAAGACTTTAATTCCCATTCCAGCTTCTAGAGCCGGCCTGATTTCCTTGACTCATGGCCCCTTCCTCCATTTTCAAAATCAGCAACAGTAGGCCAAATTCCTAGCACATTACATCATCTGACCTTCTCTTTTGTCTCTCTCTTCCACGTTTAAGGATCCTTGTGATTACACTGAACCCACCCAGATAGTCTAGGATAATATCCCTATCTTAAGGTCAGCTTGAGGTAGGAGTCAGGACCTGACTCCAGACCAGATAGAAGACTGGCTGAAACAGGGAAGAGGCCCCAAAAGCACCTCTCCATAACATTCCCACCAGCACCATGACAGTTTACCAGTACCATGGCAACTCCCGGAAGTTACCACATCTTTTTTTTAAAGAAATTTCTAAATAACCCAACTCTTAATTTGTGTATAATTAAAACTGGGTATAAATATGACTGCAGAACTGCCCCTGAGCTGCTACTCTGGGCAAACTGCTTGTGGGTTAACCCTACTCTGAAGGAACAAAGCCCCTGCTGCTGCTGTACACTACCACTTCAATAAAAGTTGCTGTATAACAGCACCAGCTCACCCTTGAATTCTTTCCTGGATGAAGCCAAGAACCTTCCCAGGCTAAGCCCCAATCTGGGGGCTCATCTGCCCTGTATCAAGCTGAGCAGCAACCTTAGTTCTGTCTGCTACCTTGACTTGTTTCTAACATGTACCATGATATTCAAGGTTCCAGGGACTAAGAAGTAGACATCTTTGTGGGGCCATTACTCTGCCTATCCTAGGAGACATCTCAGAATTTTTCCTACCACAGAAAAAGAGTAATCTTTTAAACAAATGATGTTAGATCATCTGTAGAGAGAAAAAGTAAAACGCAATTCTTACCTCACACAAAAATTAATTAAATTAATAATAGATGTAGGCCAGGCGTGGTGGTTCATGCCTGTAATCTTAGCACTTTGGGAGGCCGAGGTGGGTGGATCATTAGGTCAGGAGATCGAGATCATCCTGGCTAACATGGTGAAACTCTGTCTCTACTAAAAAAAAAAAAATACAAAAATTTAGCCGGGCGTGGTGGCGGGCACCTGTAGTCCCAGCTACTGGGGAAGCTGAGGCAGGAGAATGGCGTGAACCCAGGAGGCAGAGCTTGCAGCAAGCTGAGATAGCGCCACTGCACTCCAGCCTGGGTGACAGAGCAAGACTCTGCTTCAAAAATAATAATAATAATAATAATAGATGTAAATGTAAACACTGTAATAATATAAACATCAAAACTAAAGCTATAAAAAGATATACAAATGATGAATAAGAACATTAAAAGATGTTCAACGTCATTAGTTATTAGCAAAATGCAAATCAAAATCACAAGATACCACTTCCCAGCCACTAAAATGGCTACAATTAAGAGAGAGAGAGCAAGAGAAAGAAAGGGAGGGAGGAAGGAAGGGGTGAAGGAAGGAAGGAAAGACAGAAAGAGTTGGTGAGGACGTGAAGAAATTGGGACGCTCATGACCTTGCTGGTGGGAATTTAAAATGGTGCAGCCACTGTGGAAAACAATATGGTGGCTTGTCAGTTAAACATAGAGTTGCCATATGACCCAACAATTTCATTCCTAGGAATATGCCAAAGAAAACTGAAAACATGTCAAACAAAAACTTGTACACAAACTTCAGAGAAGCATTATTTATAATAGTCAAAAAATAGAAACAATCCAAATGGCCATCAACTGATGATGATACATGGTACATCCACACAATGGAATGTTATTTTGTCATAAAAATGAATGAAGAACTTTTATATGTTGGAACGATAAACTGTGAAGATGTGTTAAGAAGCCAGACATAAAAGGCCACATATAGAATGATTCCATTTATATAAAATTTACAGAATAGACAGCTCCATAGGGACAGAAAGTAGATGAGTGGTTGCCAGGAGTGGGAGAGAGGGACATTGGGAATGACTGCCAATAAGCACAAGGTTTCTTTTCGGGGTGATGGAAGTGTTCCATAATTAGATAGTGGTGATGGTTGTACAACATAATGAATATAGGAAAAACTACTGACTTGTATACTTTAAAATGATCAGCTTTATGTTATGTAAATTATATCTCAGTAAAAAAAAAGTAATGGGAAAAATTATTGTGCTTATAGATGGTATTAGGATTTAGCAGTACCTGTCTCAGTGGAAAGACATTTTCAAAGATGAAATGCATAAAATATCATTACTGGCAGCACTTGCAACAGATTTTGATGATGGGAAACATAACTTTCATCCCAGTTAAGTGAAAATGTTATCCCTCCTCCAAAATTCCATTTTCCTCATTAGAGAAAAATTTACTGAATTATTGTTTTGAATTCTGTCAATTAAAAAAGTGAAACTACAAAACCTCTAGAAGAAAACTTAGGTGGAAATCTTCATGGCTTTGGGATAACTAAAGATTTCTTAAGATACAAAAAAGTACTCTGCCACCATAAAATTTTTTAAACTGATATTGATTTCTAAAAATTAAAAACTTAGGATTTCCAAAAGTCATCATTAATAAAATAATATGAAAGGAAAGATAGTTGCGATACATATATCTGAGAAAGGTCTTGCATCCAGAATACACACAAAACTTTCACAACTCAACAGTAAGAAGACAAACAACTCAATTTTTTTTAATGGGCAAAATATTTGAACCGACATTCCATGAAAAAAGATACATGAATGGCCAATAAGGACATGAAAAGATGTTCAACATGTTCATCAGTGAAATTCAAGTGAAAACAATGAAGAATTATCACCACATACCGACCAGGATGGCTAAAATTTAAAAGACTGAAAATACCAAATATTGGAGAGGATATACAGCAATTGATACTGTCATACAATGCGTGGAGTGGAAAATGGTGCAAACATTTCAAGAAACAGTTTGACAATTTCTTAAGAAATTGAACACACCCCCTCTATGAGCCAGCAATCTACCCCTAGGTATTTAACCAAGGAAAATGAAAGCATGTGTTCATAAAGATACATGCACAAGAATTTTCATATGAGCTTTATTCATAATAGCCAAAAACTGGAAATAATACAAATGTCTGTCATCATTTAAACAGATAAATTGTGGCATTTTTATACAGAGGAATAATTATAAGCAATAAAAAAATGTGGCATGCAACCCAGATGACAGACATTATGTTGAGTGACAGAAGCCAGGCACAAAGAGTACTCTAGGGTCCATTTCCATGACGTTCTGAGTCAGGGGGCACTGAGCTGGAGTGGTCGATGTCCCAGGAATCAGTTCTGCTGCCAGGGAGGAGAATAGACTGGGAAGTGGCACAGGTAGCTTCCTGGATGAGGGAGGTTTCTTTATCTTGATTGAGGTGGTGGTTACATAAGTGTGTATGTTTATAGTGTATATATATATATATATATATATATATATATATATATATATATATATATATATATATATGGTTTGGCTATGTCCCCACCCAAATTTCAACTTGAATTGTATCTCCCAGAATTCCCACGTATTGTACGAGGGACCCAGGGGGAGGTATGTGAATCATGGGGGCTGGTCTTTCCTGTGCTATTCTTGTGATAGTGAATAAGCCTCATGAGATCTGTTGGGTTTATCAAGGGTTTCTGCTTTTTGCTTCTTCCTCATTTTCTCTTGCCACCACGATGTAAGAAGTGCCTTTCACCTCCCCCCATGATTCTGAGGCCTCCCCAGCCATGTAGAACTATAAGTCCAATTAAACAACTTTTACTTCCCAGTCTCAGGTATGTCTTTATCAGCAGCATGAAAACAGACTAATTATATATATATATATATATGTGTGTGTGTGTGTGTGTGTGTGTGTGTGTGTATACATATATAATAACTCACTGAACTGTGCACTTAAAAATCAATGCATTTTATTACATGTAAACTATATCCTAATATACTTGATTTTTAAAAACATCATAGGCCAGGTGCAGTGGCTTACGCCTGTAATCCCAGCACTTTGGGAGGCCGAGGTGGGCGGATCACAAGGTCAGGAGATAGATACCATCCTGGCTAACATGGTGAAACCCTGTCTGTACTAAAAATACAAAAAAAAAAAAAAAAAACCTAGCCAGGCATGGTGGCGGGTGCCTGTAGTCCCAGCAACTCGGGAGGCTAAGGCAGGAGAATGGCTTGAACCTGGGAGGTGGAGCTTGCAGTGAGCCAAGATGGTGCCACTGCACTCCAGCCTGGGCAACACAGTGAGACTCTGTCTCAAAAAAAAAAAAAAGGCCAGGAGTGGTGGCTCATGCCTGTAATCCCAGCACTTTGGGAGGCCGAGGCAGGCAGATCACAAGGTCAGGAGATTGAGACCATCCTGGTTAACACAGTGAAACCCCGTTTCTACTAAAAACTTAGCCAGGCATGGTGGCGGGCACCTGTAGTCCCGGCTACTCAAGAGGCTGAGGCAGGAGAATGGCGTGAACCAGGAAGCAGAGCTTGCAGTGAGCCGAGATCACACCACTGCACTCCAGCCTGGGGGACAGAGCGAGACTCTGTCTCAAAAAAAAAAAAAAAAAAAAATCATATAGGCCAAATAAAGCATGTTTGTTGACTGAATGTGACTCACACACTACCAGTTTGCAAACTGAGCTAGAGAATCAAATGGGGTGAAGGTCAGTCCCCCAATCCTTCTGACCATGTACATGTGGGCCAGTTGCATTATGTGCTCTTAGGACAGACACTTTCATTTTTAAGGTTCTTTATTGGGGTGCAGGGATAAAGAAAAAAAGAAAGAGAAAGACAGAGAGAGGGAATGACAGAAGGAAGGAAGAAGGGAAGGGAAGGGAATGGAGGGAGACACCAATTACCATCTGCTCCAACTCCTTATTTGGTCCAAATGAAGGTGACTGGTGTGGCCTGCCACAGATGCAATAGGGTGACCCCCCCTCAGCCTCAGGCTTGGTACCTCAGGCTCCCAGGCTTGTGAGTCAAGCATCATCTGAACAAACAAGGCATGCTCCATGCAGCTCCATCTTATGCTGCTGTAGTGACAGAAATGGGGCCTGATATGGTTTGGCTGTGTCCCCACCCAAATCTCATCTTGAATTATAGTTCCCATAATCCCCACGTGTTGTGGGAGGGACATGGTCACAGGTAATTGAATCATGGGGGTGGTTTTCCCTGTGCCGTTCTCATGATAGTGAGTGAGTTCTCATGATATCTGATGATTTTATAAGCATCTGATATTTCCCCTGCTGGCACTTCTCTCTCCTGCCACCATGTAAAGAAGGACCTGTTTGCCTCCCTTTATACCATGATTGTAAGTTTCCAGAGGCCTCCCCAGCCATGCAGAACTGTGAGTCAATTAAACCTCTTTCCTTTATAAATTACCCAGTCTTGGGCAGTTCTTTATAGCAGCGTGAGAACAAACTAATACAGTAAATTGGTACTGGGAGTGGGGTGCAGCTGAAAAGATACCCGAAAATGTGGCATTGACTTTGGAACTGGGTAACAGGCAGAGGTTGGAACAGTTTGGAGGGCTCAGAAGAAGACAGAAAGATATGGGAAAGTGTGGAACTTCCTAGAGACTTGTTGAGTGGCTTTGACCAAAATGCTGATAGTGGTATAGAAAATGAAGTCCAGGCTGAAGTGGTCTCAGGTGGAGATTAGAAATTTGTTGGGAACTGGAATAAAGGTAACTCTTACTATGCTTTTAGCAAAGAGAATCGTGGTGTTTTGCCCCTGCCCTAGAGATCTGTGGAACTTTGAACTTGAGAGAGATGATTTAGAGTATCTGGCGGAAGAAATTTCTAAGCAGCAAAGCATTCAAGAGGTGATCTGGGTTCTCTTAAAAGTGTTCAGTTTTACACATTCACAAAGAGATGGTTTGGAATTGGAACTTATGTTTAAAAGGGAAGCAGAGCATAAAAGTTTGGAAAATTTGCAGTCTGACAATGTGATAGAAAAGAAAAACCCATTTTCTGAGGAGAAATTCAAGCCAGTGGCAGAAATTTGCATAAGTAATGAGGAGTCAAATGTTAATCGCCAAGACACTGGGGAAAATGTCTCCAGGGCACGTCAGAGGACTTCACGGCAGACCTTTCCATCACAGGCCAGGAGGCCTAGGAGGAAAAAATGGTTTTGTGGGTTGTGCCCAAGGGCTTACTGCTTTGTGCAGTCTCAGGACCTGGTACCCTGTGTCCCAGCTGTGGTTAATGGGGCCAACATGTGAAGCTCAGGCCATTGCTTCAGAGGGTGAAAGCCCCAAATCTTGGTGGCTTACTTATAGGATTGGGCTTCTGGGTGCACAGAAGTCAAGAATTTAGGTTTGGGAACCTCCACCTAGATTTCAGAGGATGTATGGAAATGCCTGGATGTCAATGCAGAAGTTTGTTGCCAGGGTGGAGCCCTTGTGAAGAACCTCTCCTAAGGTAGTGTGGAAGGGAAATGTGGGGTCAGAGCCCCCACACAGAGTCCCCACTGGGGCACTGCCTAGTTGAGCTGTGAGAAGAGAATCATTGTCCTCCAGATCCCAGAATGGTAGATCCACCAACAGCTTGCACTGTGCACCTGGAAAAGCCACAGACACTCAACACTGGCTTGTGAAAGCAGCCAGGAGAGGGGCTATACGCTGCAAAACCACAGGGGTGGAGCTGCCCAAGGCCATGGGAACTTAACGTCTTGCAACATTGTGACCTGGATGTGAGACATGGAGTCAAAGGAAATTATTTTGGAGCTTTAAGATTTAGTTACTGCCTTGTTGGATTTTGGACATGCATAGGGCCCTTTGTTTTACCCAGTTTCTCCCATTTGGGATGGGTGTATTTACCCAATGCCTGTACCTGCATTGTGTCTAGGAAGAAACTAACTTGCTTTTGATTTTACAGGCTAATAGGTGGAAGGCACTTGCCTTGTCTCAGATGAAACTTTGGACTTGGACTTTTGGGTTAATGCTGGAATAAGTTAAGACTTTGAGGGACTGTTGGGAAGGCATGGTTGTGTTTTAAAATGTGAGGACATGAGATTTGGGAGGGTCCATGGGCAGAATGATATGTTTGGCTGCATCCCTACTCACATTTCATCTTGAATTGTAGTTCCCATAATACCCACATGTTGTGGGAGGGACATGGAGTGGGGTAATTGAATCATGGGGGCAGCTTTCCCCATGCTGTTCTCATGATAGTGAATGAGTTCTCATGAAATCTGATGGTTTTATAAGCATCTGGCATTTCTCCTGCTGGCACTTCTCTCTCCTGCCACCATGTGAAGAAGGACATGTTTACTTGTCCTTCCAACATGAATGTAAGTTTCCTGAGGGCTCCCCAGACATGCAGAACTGTGAGTCAATTAAACCTCTTTCTTTTATAAATTACTCAGTCTCAGCCTGTTCTTTATAGCAGCATGAGAACGGACTAATACAGGTAATGTTCACCCCATCTAACCCCTCTTCCTGGATACCCAGGAGGGCAACATTCCCAGCCTCCTTAAAGTTGTGTGGGGACCATGTGACTAAATCCTGGCCAATAAGATGTTGTGAAAAGAATGTACACCACCTCTAGAATAGGCCATAAAAACAAACTTCCATGCACTTCCCAGCTCTCTTCCTCTTCCACTACCACTTTGGAAGCCGGGTGGCTGGATATCCAGGTGGTGGAGCCTCAGCATGGAACAGGCCCAGATTCCACAGTCACTGCTTGGCAAAAGCTGTGAGGAGACGAGACACCCAACCTACTTCTGGATTTCTGTGAGCAAGAAATAAATATTTGTTGTGTCTAAACTCTGAGAATCGGAGGTTGTTACCCTAGCTAATCCCTGACACGGGCATGTCACACAGACTTTTGGGTGTGTATCCACTTCTATTACTGTGAAAAACACCAAAAGAAAAAAGCAAAGTTTATTGGCTCTTATGTTTTTTACTACCATCATAAAAAACTCAACAGTAAAAAAACAAACAACTCAGTTACAAAATGGGCAAAGACATGAGCAGATATTTCACCAAGGAGAAGACGGAGATAGCCAAAAAGCATGCAGAGGCTGGGCGCAGTGGCTCAAGCCTGTAATCCCAGCACTTTGGGAGGCCGAGGCAGGCGGATCACGAGGTCAGGAGATCAAGACCATCCTGGCTAACACGGTGAAACCCCATCTCTACTAAAAATACAAAAAATTAGCTGGGTGTGGTGGTGGGCGCCTGTAGTCCTAGCTACTCAGGAGGCTGAGGCAGGAGAATGGCGTGAACCCGGGAGGCGGAGCTTGCAGATGGCACCACTGCACTCCAGCCTGGGTGACAGAGCGAAACTCTGTCTCAAAAAAAAAAAAAACAAAAGCACGCAGAAACATGTTCCTCATCATTGACCATTAGGGAAATGCAAATGAAAAGCAGAAGGAAATATCACTACACACCTATGAAAACAACTATGGTTAAAAAAAAATGCTAACAAGAATCCACAGAAAGTGGTTCTCTTATCCATTGCTAGTGAGAATGTAAAATTGTCAGTGTCTCACAAAGCTAAGCACGCATCATAATACCCAGCCCTCACACTCTTGGGCATTTATTCAGAGAAATGAAAACTGATGTTTGTGCAAAAACCTATACGTGACTATCGATAGAATTTTTATTCACCATATTTGCAGAAACTCTGGTACGTGCATATAATGGAACACTACTCAGCAGTAAAAAGGAACAAACTATTGTTACATGGATCTCAAGAGAACAAACACTGAGTGAAAAGTCAACCTTGAAAGATGATGCAGTGTGTGATTCCATTTGTACAACATTCTCATAATGACAAAATGATAGAGATGGAGAACAGATTAGTAGTTGCTAGAAGACAGGGACAGGGAGGGGGAGGTTGCAAATACCAAATACGAAGAGGTAGTGCAAGGGTGTGCATTTGTGATGATGAACAGTTCTGTGTCTTGACTGTGGTGGTGGTTATCAAAATTTATACACGGGATGAAATTGCATAGAAACGGAGAGAGAGAGAGGAATGATTACCATCTCAACAATAATGAGAACTGAATAAGGTCTAGAGTCTAGTAGCATTGTAATATCAATGTCAATTCCCTGGTTTTGATCTTGTGCTGTGGTTATATAAGATGTCAGCATTAAGATTAGCTGAGGGAAGCTTACAAGGGACTCTGTACAATTTTTGCAACTTCCTACAAGTGTACAATTATTTCAAAATAAAATGTTTTTTTTTTCCCACAGGGTAGGACATGAGCAATGATAATTCCAACCAGAGACCATCTACTAAGTGGACCTGTGGCCAAAACACCAGGTGTTCTCACTGTGATTCCTACCTACTCTGGTGAAGTAGTATTTCTCCTCCAGTTTTAATAATGAGGACAAGTTGTTATTTTTCTTCCCAGCAAGCCAAAAATAGCAGCAACAATCCCCACCATCCAGGGGTATGACATACACCCTGAGAAGCAAAGCTCCTGCACCAAGGCCTGCTGGAAGGTAAAAGCAGCCACGTCCGTCCACGGCATGAGTGTAAGCTGAGCCCCTACTAGGTGCCAGGGACTGTGCTTGATGTTGAGTGGAGAACAGGCTGAAGAAGACTTGGGGAGACAGTGAGGGAACTCAGAGTCCAGATGGGAGAGAATGATGACTTGGCCAGGAGGTTGTAGTGGGGAGGAAGAGAAAGCATGGATTTGAGACTCCTCTGGAGGTCAAATAAATAGGACTTGGGGATTGTTTGGGTGTGGACAGTGAAGGAGAGGTACCTAGGGTGACTTCCTGACCTACCTCTCAGCTTCTGTGACAAGAGCCAGTGCCTCCAAATCAGCATTTCATTGCTTGGGCATCAAGAAGTCCCAAACTCTTTGCACAGGTTTCCTGTTCCAGTGGCCGGCCCTCAGAATCTCCCTCCCCTGGGCCTGTTGGAGATTGTGGGACTGATAATGGGAGCTAGAAGGGGGTAGCCCCTGGAAAGCTCCATCCCACGGTGGGTCTGCTTTGGGCCATGCCTGTGCAAAGCCCTCCACCAGCTCCAGGGGTGGCTGGTGCAGATCTTGTTCCCAGTCCTGAGATGGAGCGAGGGGAGGATATGCTCCCATGGGGAAGACTGGAGGAGGAGCAGATGGATGGGGGAGAGTGAGTTCAAGCTTTAGAGTAGCTGGAATGGTAAGTGGCCTGTCCAAGCTCAAGGATGGAGTTCCTAAGTTGGGAATCATCAGCCCACACAGCTTTGCCTGGAGATGGTTTAAAGTGAGCAGGAACAAGAGCTGAGGACAGGGGCTGAGTTTAATGATTGTATAAAGGAGGGAGAGACAGAGAAGGGGCAGTCAACCAGGTAGAAAGAAAAGCAACAGAGTGCTGGAGCAGGGGCGCAGAGAGAATGACAGATCCAGAAAGAGAAGCTCTGGGATCTGTGAGCTGAGAGATGACAGCACAGACATATCCACTGAGCTGGAGCCCTGCTGGCCTCTGCTGGTCACGCCACACACAGCGGGGAGCACAGGGCCTTCAGGCCACTTGTTCCGTGGACACCTGGTCTTGCTGGCCTAGGTCAAGGGCACACACCACTGCCCTGGAGGGCCAGCAGAGGAAACTGGCTGCCTTCCTGCATGAATTGGGGCTCTCTCCTTGCCTGCCTTGGTGCCCCCAGTGGTGAGTCTTTGGTGAGGAGACCAGGTGCCCTGGAGTGTTATGTGTTTCTGCTCAAGGGTCCCTTTCTGTAGGTCTACTGGTGTCTGTAGCCCCTTGACTTCCTTCTGAGAATGATCAGGGCTGGGACGCTGCCTGGAAGTTTTGGGCAAAAGACTCTGTCCCCCAACCCACTGGGGTGAATGAGCCAGCAGGAGCCTGGAGCTCCTGAGGTCTTGTGTGGGGAGCAGGGTGAGAAGGACCGAAGGACAAGACCCTGCTGACACTGTGGGAGCCCCTGGCCTGGCTGCACTAGGCCCTCCTGTCACTGGCTCATCTCCCCCACTTGAGCCACTGGGGTAGGTGCCTGAGAATAAACTGACAGGGGCCTCCCATCCCTCCATCTGGGCCTCTCTCCCTGCTGGACCTGCCTCCTTGACCTGGGAACAGGCCAGAGTCCTAGACAGGCTCTGTCTGGACTCCTGGCAGCCACTGTCTGTGCCCACACCCACGTTCCACATGTTCTGAGGACCTAGCAGACTCCAGCCTGGCCCCACCCAGCCCACCTCACCTTCCCCAACCAAAAGCTGGGGAGACCTAGGTCAGTGACAGCTCCTCTGTGGGGGATTTATCCCCTACACTCTGTTTAGATTCTCAAAACATAAGATCCAGTTTGTTAGCCCCTTCCCATGAAACACCTGGGCCTGCACACTCCAAAATTAGACAGAAGAAGCTCCTCTGGGAATTCGAAGACACCTTCTCTGCTAATTCTCCCATTCCCGAGTGGTTTTCACAGCTCACTAGAACCGCCAGGACCAGCTCGGCCTCCCTAATGAGCCAGCGCTTCCCTAGCTGGGAAGTGCTCTGGCCCTAGTGAGTTTTTCTCGGCCATAAATGCACATGCTGTGGGTCAAGGATGGAGAACTGGCATTTATGGTGGATCCCGGTTTTAATAAGGTCAGGCAGGGACTCTTTCAGGTAAGCCCAGAGAATGCCACCTGTGGCAGGGCAGGGACAGGGGCATGATTTGCGTGGCTCAGGACAGTGACATGACCATGAGGAGGTACATCCGGCCTCTCCCACGTGGGTAGCATCCTCTCTGACCCGCTTCCTCAGCCCTGGCTCCCAGCCTCGCCCCCACCCCCCAGGCTATCTGACCAGCCCTCACCAGCCCTGCCAGCTACAGCTGCAAGATGGGATGCAAAGGCTACGAGGTCCGAGGGTATCCCCAGGGAGTGATGGCAGCAGGCAGGATGGCGATTCCAGGAGATGCTGTTCCCCCTCCCCCGCGGGGCAGTGACAGTCCTGGGGAACCCACTTTTAGAACAACACACCAGGCTTGTTTGCAGAGGTGTCAAAACCTTCCAAAAGCCAGACCACAGGATGTGGACCTGCTGCTGCTGCTGGACCTGGGGAAGCTGGACAGGTCCCTCAGCACACCGCTGTAGGTGTCAGCAGAGCAGGCTGTTGGCAGGCGCTGTTCCTCCGGCCCCAGCAACAGGCCTGGGAGCAGCCCACCAGGAGGCCCCGGGGGAGCTTCAGTCTCCAGCTTCTTACTGGGCCCCTGTATGCTACCCTCAGCTGTTGCTGGTAAAGCTGGGGCCCTCAGGTCCATTTGTGCAGCGAGTCCTGGGCCCCGGAGGACACCGCTAATCAGCTTCTCTGCTGGCCAGGGGATACTCACGGGCCTCACTGCAGGGCCACTGCAGCTGATCTGGTGCCTGGCCTGCCAGTGGCCCCTCACATGTAGCTCCTCCCTGTTGGTAACCCCCCACTTAGCTCCTGCACCCTGCTCTTCTCCCACCGGCCCTCAGGCCAGCCCTCCACCTGTCCCCCGCCCTCCCAGGCTAGCTTGGAGCCCTGGTCTGGGAAGCAGTGTTCCCATGGGAAGAACCCGGAGCCAGGCCTCAGGACACCATGCACACGTCTGCTGCAGAGCAAACAGCTCTTGCCTCTCGGGCCCCTTGCCAGCTTTTGATTCATGCAACTTAGAAAATAAGACATATTTTTATGCTGTTTGCCACGTTTATGAAGGAGAAATGTGTTTCATTGACTGGCCCAGGACCTGCCCTCTCATCAGCCGGCAGAGGCACAGGCTCCTCCAGGTGCCTCTCACTCTTTCCTGGGCCTGGGTCAAAAGCGCTAAACCTGCTCCAACAGCCAAAGCAGCCAGGCCTCACTCTTCCAGATGAGAACTTCGGGTCAAGCGTTTTCTTCCCAGTCTCACTCCTCAGCCCTTCCCCCTACCATCTTGTTTCCATAATCCTGAGGCTCAGGCAATTAAAATAAAATATCCTTGTAGTCTCTAGATGTTTACTAAACCAGCTGGTAATGAGCTAGGCAGGATCATCTCTATTACATAAAGGAGAAGAACAAAGAATTAGGAATATGGAAGACATTCAAACGTCTTAATTAGTGCTTCCATTTGTAAAAGCTGCTCCATCACCGAGAGCTTCTCTCAGAGGCCCATCACGGGCAGGCCAGGGACCCTAAAGCCCCCGTGCAGACTGCAGCAGCACTGTCAAAGGCTAGCTTTGGTCTCGGCCAGGCCACCTGGCCACAGCTCCACACTCAGGGATCTGGGGACCTTGAAGCATCAGATGATGGCGGGGCCCCGGGCTGGGTCCAAGCTCTGCATGGACTCCTGGAAAGGGAGAGATGGGCAGTGTCTGCAAGCAGATGTAGCCAACAATGAGGCAGAGCCCTGGGCTCCAGATGGCTCCCACACTGGGGCAAGTCTTGGCTGTGCTCCTCGCCACACCACTGGCAGACACTGCGCCTGGCTGGGGAAATTCCTCCAGCTCCTGGCCTCTTTCTCACCCTCCCTGAAGGCTTCTGGATTCCCTCACAGCCTCTGCTGAAGCCTGAACACCAGAGAACCCAGAGGATGAGCATGCCACAGACTGCCCTTCACCTTGGGGCTGCAGCCTGGACCCCCAGGCTCGCCCAGGCAGCAGGGCTGGGCTTGTGGGTGGGAGGGCAGCATGACAGTGGGAGGTGATGGTACCGAGCAGAGCTCTAGGGTCAGAGAGTCAGGCTGAGCCTGTGCCTCGGCCCTGGTCCTGCCCCATGGGCTACCCATGGCTCCCCCTCCACGGTGATGTCATCCCAGACCACTTCATAATAAGCACAGCCCTGTGTCCTGAGCCCCGCCTGGGGCCAGGCCTGGGCTAAGCACTCCACCACATTCACTGTCTCGCCAAGGCCTCACCATAACCCCATGGGGCGGTTCTGTTATTAGCCCCACTTTACATCAAGGCAGAGAGAAGAGAACAGCCATCTCAACCAGCCAGCAGGAGCCTGGAGTTCAGAGAGCTCGGAGCTCCACTGCACACCACATACCCGGAGCTGCCGCCTTCGGCCAGTGTCCATCCCCAGCCTCCCAAGCTTGGCCCAAGCCCCCTGGCCTTTGTGGGGCTGAACCCACCACTGAGCACACCCAACATGCCCTCATCCCACAGTTCCCTGCCTCCCCCACCTGAGCCCAGCACCCCACAGAGGCCTGATGAGGGCACAGGCTCAGTAAACACGGGTGGAACTGCGCTGATTGAAGGTTGGAGACTGTCTTGAATTAAACCACGATGGATGACTCTTTTAAAGCAGGGGAATGAAAGAAGAAGAAAGTAAAGCTGACATGAGTAGCCTTAGGCTTTCAGCAGGCCCAATTTAACAGTTCGAGAAGTTGCCACTATTGAACAATAATTCTTTCCTGTGAAGCGCCCTGGTCTAATGCTGGACAGAGTCCTCTGAGCTGTGCTAAGCCAGTTCCCTGCCTTTACAGGTCTTACGTCTTAAACCTTTGAAAGTAAACGTCAAATATATTACACTCCTGGGGCACGACTCTCACTGGCCACATTTCTGGAATACCTGAGACTAAATAGCCAAACTTCAAATGGATTCAACCAACTTGTTGAGTATCTACAAGAAGAATTGGATAATGCCCTTGTCCTTGAGGAAGACATGGGATGAAACATTGACAGCTGGGATGGATTAGGGTAAAGGCTTTACTGAAAGGATGTAAGAATTGCCACATTCCTCCCACTTGGCCAGGGGGAAAGGTAATTCTATCGTGGCTGGGGTCAGGTGGGAGGGGAGGGATGCATGCAGGGATAGTGTTTTACAGAGGAAAGGCATTTGACTTGATCTTGAGGGAGAAATCGGAAGGTCAACCGGGGCAGGATATCGGATATTCCACGCAGAGGGAGCAGCTCACTCGAGCCGAGTGACGTGCGGCTGTCAGCACAGGGAGCTGCAACCGCCCGCCCCTCCGTCTGCGTGAGGGGCCCCTCGTGGCATCTTCCGAGTGCTATGGAACACCTTGCTCCCGCTCCACCCGCCCCGCCCTCCAGTGCCTTCGTATTTCTCTCATGTGCTTTTGTCTTTTTTCCTTTCCTTTTCTCCCTTACATATCCAACTGACACCTTGTCCACTTTGCTGCAATTACTAATTCATGGATTGATTAAATCATCTACTCCACAGATACTTACAGATGAGCTGCTGTGTGCAGTGTTCACGGAAGGCACTGTGGAATTGGGATCGGGCGCCTGCCCCGAAATCCCACACAAAGGGGACAGCAGGAGGAGGCCGCTCAGCTGTGGGAGTGGGACGGGGAAAGGGAGGTTTCAAGGCCAAGTGGAAGAAGTGGCGGTGGGGGAAGGTATTCCAGGTGGGCACACTGTCACCCACTCATTCACACCATCCACACTGCCCAGACACACACACACACACACACACACACACACACACACACACACACGCTGGCTGCTTCTCTGCTCTGCACCTCAGAGACCATCTATACAAACCTGATGGAAGTGTGTTTAGTATATTTCATTAAAAGATGCTTGGCCGGCCGGGCGTGGTGGCTCATGCCTGTAATCCCAGCACTTTGGGAGGCCGAGGCGGGCAGATCACGAGGTCAGGAGATCGAGACCATCCTGGCTAACATGGTGAAACCCCGTCTCTACTAAAAATACAAAAAATTAGCCGGGCGTGGTGGCGGGTGCCTGTAGTCCCAGCTATTCGGGAGGCTGAGGCAGGAGAATGGCATGAACCCAGGAGGCGGAGCTTGCAGTGAGCCGAGATCGCGCCATTGCACTCCAGCCTGGGCGACAGAGCGAGACTCCATCTCAAAAAAAAGAAAAAAAAAGATGCTTGGTCAACACTGCTTCCTTTCTTGGCCCTGCTGCCTAAGGTGGCCACGGCTCTGCTGTCTCCAGCCCCTGATGGTAACTCCCCGACCCCCTGCCTGCGGGTTGCCTCCTCCTGCCTGCAGCACTGTGAGTCATGCCTCACTCAACGCCCTCCATCTGCGCCATCTGAGTGGCCCTGTGTGTCCCGGTGGGAGGCTGACTCCTCCACATTGGCCCTCGGTGGAGGCCAGGAGGGTCTGAGGTCCTGGAAAGTCACAGAGATGGTGGAGGCAGGGTTCCAAGGTATGGTTTCCTACCTTGCTGATTCTCCCTGGGTTCTGGCTGGCCAGGCCTGGGTGGATGTCCCCTTCCAGTCCTCTTCCCAGCTTCCTGGGCCCTAATGTGGGCTGAGTGCTGGGCATCAGACCTTCTTTCTCCAACAGCCCAAGGATTAGAACATATAGCGTGGGCACCAGAGAGCAAACGGGAGGCCAGGCCCATGTTGGTGCAAAGAAAGGCTCACAGACCTGCGTCAGGCGGGCATGGGGCCCATCCCCCCACTTCCCTGTTCCCACGCCCAGAGGAGGGGCCTGGCTCATGCCTGCTCAGGGTCGGAGGGCCAGGCTGAGCCAGGGCTGCCTTTCTCTCGGCTCCGTCCCAGGTGAGGGTGCCTTCCCTGTGAGCTGATTGGAGCCAGGGAGGACCAGAGGATGGGGACACAGTCACAGCGAGGCCCTGGCTGACGCTGTTTGTTCCAGGTCGCCTTTACGGGACTTCACAGGGATTCAACAAACTGGTTGAGTATCTCCAAGAACCTGGACAAAGCCTGAGATGGGAGCCCGGGCTGGGCGGATACTCGAGGCCAGGTGTTCTGCACTGTGTAGCTGAAGGTGAAGGTGATGACCACCACAGGCCCTGGCAGGAGGTTCAGGACCAGGCAGCCAGACTCAGACCTCTGCCCAGGGCCCAGTGCTTGGCCGGGGCCTGCCCTGAGGTCACCCCTAGACGCAGCGCCAAGGGCTGAAGATGTGATGGCAGCACGCTGACCGGTGGCCCAGGCTGGGTCAGAGTTTCCGGGGCCAGCTCAGACGTTGGAGGCCTGGGGAGGCTGGCCCCAGCCCCAAAGGAGGGACTGAAATTGTTTCCATGGCAATGGAAAAAGTAACACAGAGAGGAGCAGGACACTCCGCCAGGCCTGCAATAGCCATCCTGTGCTGGGCCGGCCAGCTCCCAGCAATTACAGGCCCAGGACGGGAGGCAGATCCCATCGCAGCTTCGTCACCCCTCCTGGGATGCTGGCAGCCTGACAGCTTCCCCCCAGCCCTGCGCCTGGAGGCTGGGACAGACAGGCCACGGGCAAGAGAGCCAGCAGGAGCCTGGCTTCCAGTCTGACAGCTGCCCCCAGGGTCTCCATGAACTTCCCAAGTGATCGCTGTCCCCAGACTCAGTTCCCTCATCTGTAAAGTGTGGGCATTCATGCCCCCAGCTGTGTGAGCACGGGTGGAAGCATGAGGAGGCTCTGTCCCCATTCACTAGTGTTGTCAGAAGCCGCTGCAGCCCCCACAGCTATTGCCTGGCACCGCTCTGCGGCCTCGGCCTGAGGGATGACTCTGAAACCCAGGGGGTCCCTACCCCAAGGAGCAGGCAGGAGGGCCAGCTCTGGGAGGGCAGGCAGGCTGGGACCCAACTGAGGGTGGGGTCCTCAGTTTCAGAGAGCAGAGCCATAGGACACAGCCACCCTCCAGATCCCAAATCCCAGCCACAGCCTCGGCCTGAACTTGACATAAAATAGCCCTGAGTTCCAAAGGCGTAAACCACAGCAGTTGGGGCCTAAACCCCACTTGTGAAGTCAGGGAGGAAAAAATAATTGCAGTGTAGAGCCGCAGGTGGGCGAAGCAGCAAGTGAACCCGGGATGGGGAGGAGTCAGCCTCTAGAGCCCCCTGTGACCTGCACGGTGGAGGCTCCAAACGAGGGGCCCATGTCAAGCATCGTGGCTTGAGTCCACACAGCTTGAGGAACCCTCACCAGCCATGGCTCCCTTCACTCACTCCACTCCAGCCTCCTCCTGCTCCGCCAGCACGCCACCCTCCCCTCCACCGACCTTCCACCCTCCCCACCACCGGCCTTCCTCCCTCCCCCACAACCGGCCTTCCACCCTCCCCCCCCACCGGCCTTCCACCATCCCCCGCACTGGCCTTCCACCATCCCCCCTACCGGCCTTCCACCCTCCCCCCCACCGGCCTTCCACCCTCCCCTCCACCGACCTTCCACCCTCCCCCCTACCGGCCTTCCTCCCTCCCCCACAACCGGCCTTCCACCCTCCCCTCCACCGACCTTCCACCCTCCCCCACAACCGGCCTTCCACCCTCCCCCCCCACCGGCCTTCCACCATCCCCCGCACTGGCCTTCCACCATCCCCCCTACCGGCCTTCCACCCTCCCCCAACCGACCTTCCACCCTCCCCCCCACCGACCTTCCACCCTCCCCTCCACCGACCTTCCACCCTCCCCCCCACCGACCTTCCACCCTCCCCCCCACCGACCTTCCACCTTTCCCCCACCGACCTTCCACCCTCCCCCCAATGACCTTCCACCCTCCCCCCCAATGACCTTCCTCCCTCCCCCACCACCGGCCTTCCTCCCTCCCCCAACCGACCTTCCACCCTCCCCCCCACCGACCTTCCTCCCTCCCCCCCCACCGGCCTTCCACCATCCCCCGCACTGGCCTTCCACCATCCCCCCTACCGGCCTTCCACCATCCCCCCTACCGGCCTTCCACCCTCCCCCAACCGACCTTCCACCCTCCCCCCCACCGACCTTCCACCCTCCCCTCCACCGACCTTCCTCCCTCCCCCACCACCGGCCTTCCTCCCTCCCCCACAACCGGCCTTCCACCCTCCCCCCCCACCAGCCTTCCACCATCCCCCGCACTGGCCTTCCACCATCCCCCTACCGGCCTTCCACCCTCCCCCCCCACCGGCCTTCCACCATCCCCCGCACTGGCCTTCCACCATCCCCCTACCGGCCTTCCACCATCCCCCTACCGGCCTTCCACCCTCCCCCCCACCGACCTTCCACCCTCCCCCCCACCGACCTTCCACCCTCCCCCCAATGACCTTCCACCCTCCCCCCCAACGACCTTCCACCCTCCCCCCCGACCTTCCACTCTCCCCCTCACCGACCTTCCACCCTCCCCCCACCGACCTTCCAGCCTCCCCCCACCGACCTTCCGCCCTCCCCCAGCACGGCCATGCTGGGACTCCCGTCCCGTCCCTCTTCAGAGCAGCTATGAGACGCACAGCCCCGTGCTGTCTGCCTGTCATGGTTTGAGCTTTGGAAGGAAGGAACTGCATTCACACTCCTCAGTCTATGCCTGCGTCCCACGAGGGCCCCCAAGATCCCTGCCTTGTTCTATTGAGTTCACCGGCCCCTTTCCCCTACACTCCAGCTCCTGCTGAGCAAGCCTTCCATGCACGGCCAACACTCCATACCTTTGCCACGTCTTTGCCTTGTGTTCGCCCTTGTGAAATGGGGGCTACTTCTAGGTGGACCCCTCGTTCCCACACAGTGTGGAATAGCCCTTGCCGAGTGAGGGCCCAGCCATGTCACTGTGAATTTCTGAGATTGCTGCTTCTCACGGCAGCAGAGCTCAGGGTGTCCCCAACACCACCCCCACAAAAGGTGCCCAAACAAGCTATGGACAAACTGCACTGGGAGTGGCATGGCTGGGCTCTGCAGGGATACTAGCTGGGCTCTGTCTGACTGGCAGGTCCCTTTTGCTCTCGGAAGGGCTGTGCCCATCTCCATCCCTCAGCACAGCCACCAGGTGCCTGTCCCCACATCCTCACTCTGTGGCTTTCAGTGTTGACTATCTGGTGGGCCAGACAGTGCCTGCTCTCCCCACTGGACAGCAGCTCCCTGAGGGCAGGATCCTGCCCATCCGAGAGTCTGTCACAGCCGCACTCCCAGCAGGGCACAGCACCCGGGAGCCGGCCACAGGCTGTCCACGCTTCTTATGCACTCTCCTCAGAGCAGCACCCCCTGGCAGCAAGGTCCCCTGCCCGCTCCCCACACTCTGCCCAGCTCCCAGGTTAGTCTTTGGCAGTTCCAGGTACACAGTGCTTCTCAGGGCCCCCCCCAGAGCAGCCTCCCCACCTGCCTGCCAGCCTCCCTCGGACAATCATCTTGTCACTGTCCCCCTGGGAAGGTCAGCTCCAGGGAGGCAGGGCTGTGTCCATGCTGTGGGCCACCACATCCTGTGCCTGGCACAGAGAAGGCCAGGCCTGGGGCTCTCGGGGCAGCAGCAGCATCCAGGGAAGGAAGGGAGGAGGCTATGAAGGGAAGTGCCTTCAAAGGGAACAGAAGCCCATCCAAGCAGCGCTGTCCTGGCTGCGGGGGCCAGAGCAAGACAGGGTGGGACGCAGGGCGCAGGAATGTGAGCTGCTGTGGGAGGCAGCCCCAAGACATCTACAGCCATGTTCCCTTGCAAAACCCTTTCTGAAACGGGGTAAAGTGATGGTGGAAATGCAGGCACATCTCCACACCACAGGAAGGTCACGGGCAGCCCCTGCCACCACCTCACTCTGCACATGGCAGCCCTGCCTCCAGAGCACACAGACTACCATGGTGTGGTCCCAAGTACAGGACCACCCTCAGGCACAGCCCAGGGTCTCTGTCCTTGCCCCTGCTGTCGGGCCACAGGCAGGAGACCCTCCCGATAAAACTCAACTTCAGATGTGCATGAGATTCCGGAGCACCTTTCCCAGGGAGCTGCTTGGCACTGGCCTCATCAGGGGCGGCCAGCTCTGGAAGCACATGGGGCCCCCTCAGCTGGGCTCAGCCCCACCCACCCCAGCCACGGTCAGTGACCCACAGTGACTTCAGAGTTAATGGGGCCGAGGGACCTTTGACAGATGAGTTACACTTTGATTTGTATCCATTAAGCCACAGTTATTAATTTCATCACATCAGAACAAGAAATGTCAGCCTCAGTGACGTGGACCATTCCTGTTTCTACAGAGCTCAGTGACACATGTGTCACACAGGGTTGAGATTCATTTGTGGAGGAGGAACTAAGGCAGGCCACTTGGCTCCAGGCACAGGGCCTCTTCCATGCCATGGATGCAGCCCCCATCTGTCCACAGAACCCTCTGAGGAAGGCAGATGAGCTAGAGCCGTGACAGCTCCCCTCCCCTGCCATCCCCCCACCCCATGATGACTTCTCTAAGCCTCATCCTGAGTGGGGTGCCCCTCCAGCTGCCACCAGTGCAGCACTGCACCCCTGTTCCCCTGTAACTGGAGTCAGACCAAAGACACTGACCAGAGGCGAGAGCTGGAGAAGAGCCCAGATCTCACCGGCTCTGCTGCCAGGAGACCCCACCCAAGGGAACACCCAGTGTGGGGTCACTTGGGCCTCACAGGAAGCTGGGTCTGCTCTGCCAGCACTGCAAGGTGGCCCCCCAAGGATACAGCCCCCCATCTTACCCCCCTCTATGCTCCAGATGAAGGTAGGAATCATATTTATCATTCTTAACAGGACCCCAGAATTTCAAGTTGGGGCCTCTTGGTGCTGCTCAGCTCAGTCAGAACATCTCAGACCTCTGACCAGATGGATTGGTCCAGGGGCAGGCATATGACCCAAGTCAGGCCAATGAGAATGACGAGGTGTCTGCAGGGATTGTGCGAGAAATGCCTCCCTATTCCCCAGGAGCTTCTGGAGGTGGGGTGGGACGGCAGTTTTCACTGAATGAGGAAGGGCGTGATTGCAGTCGCTGCTGGCAGCCACTCTGCTACCAAGAGTAGAGCCAGCCTTAGGATGAAGCTGGCACCATTGGAGGTGAAAAGCAGACAGCCAGAAGGGATCTGTGTTTTTCATGACACCATTGAGCTGCTCGATCAAGCCTCTCCTGAAGTCCACATACCCTGTATGAAACTTTAATTCGATGACTCTATAAATCATCTTCAAGTACAGCTGGATTTACGGGCTCAAAACAACACCTCCAGTCCCTAGGTATTCTCTGTTTCTCCAGTCTATTCCGGATGGTTTTGCTTTCAGCCTCCTCATGGTGGCAACGTGGCTGCCACCACATTGTTCCAGGCCTTGTTCTTCCCAGAAGTTCCCACACCAGCCCCAGGACTCAGTAGAATTGAATCAGCTTGATGTTCGGACCTACCATGAGCCAGTGGAGAGGGGCTGGAGCCCCACAGAGACCACAGGGTCTGCAAAGAGAGGTGGGATGGAGGCTGCATCCCAAGGGCTCTTGGGCACTGTTCCTAGGAGAAGAGGGGATGGCTGACCAACAGGCAAAGCCCATAGCCCCGGCCCCAACAGTGCCCTCCCTCCAGCCCCAGGAGGGCAGCCCCACCCCACACTGCCGCCCTGCCTCCCTCCTCAGTGCCCACCCTAAGGAGCGTCCACAGGGTCACAGCCTGCCTGCCACACCGCCGCAACCAGCATCTCCCACAGCCGCCCTGAAAACCACTCGTCACCAGGACAGCACCACCTCGGAGACAGTGTCAAACCTCACACCCCAGCCAGCCAGGGCTCTCTCAGCCCACGCCCCTCCCCACACCCAGATCTTGTCCACACCTGCCCCCACCTCTCTTCCTTCCCTACTCAGCCTGGAACCAGAGGTCCAGCTGCCCACCTGCTCTCCCGCCAGGACGTCTGCAACCCTGCCAGGCAAGCGCAGCAAAGCCTTGCTCCCAAGGGGTGAAAATGGGCCTTTTCTCAAATAACCAGGGGACTGACGTGGCTCCCCTACGAAAATCCAGGATCCTCAGTGGCAATGGCGTCCTCAGCAGCACTGACACCGGCTCCTGGCCCCGCCGTCATATTCCATATACCCTCGCCACACGCCACAAGGGGCCTGGCAGACCCTCCTGCTTCACTCAGCCTGAGGAGTCTCCTCTCCACTGCCCCCTCCCAGAGCCTCCCCACAGGCTCGGAGGGCCCTGCTCTACTCGGGACCCATGCCCCTGTCCACCCAGGTAAGGGTTAATAAGATTAGCTGTCACTGAGATGAGATGTTTACCCACCTCCAGACTCCGGATGAAGATAGAAATGGTATTTATGATTTCTACCCAACGTTTCTGGAAAGGATTTAAGGTGCTTACGAGAACACACACATATAACAGGATTGCATAAATTAAATGTGGGAGCCAAAAAAGACAGGAAAACGGGGATGGGGACATAACATCGAGCAGGGGAGGAGGCTATTGTGGAAACAAAGGCCATGTGAGCTATGGGCTTGCCTGGGTGGTCGCAGCGTGCCCCATGGCTCTCCAGCAGCTGGCCTGAAAGAGCAAACCAGGGGCTGGAAGCGGCAGGGCCGGTAACATTAAAATGCACACACAATTACCCGGGAGACACCCCAGCAGCAACAGGAATGTCTCCCAAGGGAGCAGACAGCAAGGACGGTTAGGAAGGAGGGGGTTGACGGGCTTCCTTCCGGGGCTGTGGGCTTGGAAGCTGGGATGCTGGGCAAGAGGCGGGGAATGAGATGGTTCTGGCCACCCTGCTGCCTGCACTGGGGCAGTGAGGAAACCCCACAACTGCTGTGCCCTGCTGGGCAGGTGCTGGCCTGTGATGCTGGGCTCTCTATGGGCGCAAAGGGTCCAGCCCAGGCAGCACCTGGGCCCCACCAGCCTCTCCTGCACCTGCTCAGTCCTGCCATGGCACCTGCCCTCTGTCCTGGGTCACTCCTGATGGCTGGGTCAGAGCACTCACTGGCCCTCTTCAGGGCATCCCGGGACCCAGGAAATCCCTTCTGCTCCTGCTTTGGGCCCCAACTCATTCCCCTTTCGTATCTTTAGTGCACAAGCATTTACTAAGCACCTGCAGGATGCAGCCAGGGGATGTGAAGGTTATAGAGGAAAGGAGAGAAAAGTTTCAACTAAAGCTGCCTGCAGCCACTTCAGTCTTTTGGGAAGTGGCACAGGGTCAAGAGGGTGCCCAGGTCTCATGGCTCAAACCTCAGGAAGGTGCCCAGAGGACAGGGCCAATGGCATGCCCCAGGGGCACAGTGGTGGAGAGGGTCAGGGCAGAGGCCAGCAGCACGGGTGGCATGGGCAACAGGCAAAGTTCTGGGAGCCTTGTGTAGGTCTCCCAGAAGCAGCTGGGTGACCACGGGACAGGTGAGACCCTCGGGCTGCCATGGGCTCAGGGAGGGGAGGCAGGACCCAAGGCCACGTGGGCCTTAATGCCAAGTGAATTCATTGGTACCCGAGGCCCACAAAGCCCTGGGCAGTCCTGCCATAGATGAACAATTCTACTTGCATGGCACCTGTTACATCTTTCTCTGGTTGCAAATGTAATGTGCCCTCAGCATCAGCAACAACAACAACTTTAAAAATGCAAAGGGAAAACACAAAAAACAGCCACAATTCCACCATGTGTTGTGTTGGGGGTGGCTCTCAGTTTGGTGTATGACCTGCTAGTCTTTCTTTGTTAATACGTAGTCCGGTGCAGTGGCTCACGCCTGTAATCCCAACACTTTGGGAGGCAGAGGTGGGCGGATCACCTGAGGTCAGGAGTTCACAACCAGCCTGACCAACATGGCAAAACCTCATCTCTACTAAAAAATACAAAAAAATTTACACCTGTAATCCCAGCACTTTGGGAGGCCAAGGTGGGTGGATCACAAGGTCAGGAGATTGAGACCATCCTGGCTAACATGGTGAAACCCCATCTCTACTAAAAATACAAAGAAGTAGCTGGGCATGGTGGTGGGTGCCTATAGTCCCAGCTACTGGGGAGGCTGAGGCAGGAGAATGGCGTGAACCCGGGAGGCGGAGCTTGCAGTGAGCCGAGATCGCGCCACTGCACTCCAGCCTGGGCAACAGAGAGAGACTCCATCTCAATAATAATAATAATAATTAGCCAGGTGTGGTGGCAGGTGCCCATAATCCCAGCTACTCGGGAGGCTGAGGTAGGAGAATCACTTGAACTCGGGAGGCGGAGGTTGAAGTGAGCCAAGATCGCGCCACTGCACTCCAGCCTGGGCAACAGAGTAAGACTCTGTCTCAAAACAAACAAACAAACAAAAGCATGTATTTTGGAAAACTGCGTGGCAAAACCTCTGTGGCCAAAATAAGAATTAAAAAAAGACAAACTGGGGAAAATATTTAGATCTGATATCACTGACAAAGACACTAGAAACAGACCCTGGAAGTCACAGGAAAAAGACACAATTTAAATGTGCAACAGCAGTGACACATAAGCGGGGATGAGGGTGTTCCACGGTCTCTGTGTCATCTGGGAGGAAGATGAGGGTGTTGGTCGACACCAACTTTGCTGAGTTAAGGACAAGTGTGTGATTTCCAGGATGACTCCTCAGTGGGATTTACAGAATTCAGGACAGTGTCTGCCTGTGGGGAGGAGGAAATCACGACACAGAGGGCTCGCGCAGTGGAGCGGGTCCGGGTGCTGGGCGTGCTTCTGTTCCTGCCCTGCCTGCTGGTTTATCTCAGTCTCATTGAGGACATTCATCGCACTGTGCAAATGCCTCATACGCCCTGCTCATCCCATGTGCTAAGTCACAAGTTTTTTAAAGAATATTAAAAGGTGCTCAATGCCATTCATAATAAGATAGAAAATTTCAACTCTTTTTCCAAGATCAAAAATGTCAGAGCTCACTGTGTTGGTAAAGGCGTGGAGAAACGGGCTGTCCACGCGCTCCTACTGGAGTGTGATTGGTGTGTCTGCCGTGGAGGGTGCTTTGGTGATTTCAACCCAAATTTCTGGATACAAAGCTTCACACATTTCTAGAACTTTATCTACAAATATCATCACACACACAGGTGCCAAATTAACTGTGCAAAACCTTCATCGAAAAGGAGGGGAAACAGCCTGAGCGTCCTTCGTTAGGTCAATAACGGTACTTCCTACAGCGGGGTATTGCAGAGCCATGAAAACGAGGCTCTCAGACCCCTGTGCAATCAGAGCCAAGACACATCGAGTGAAAAGCAGGACGCAGAGCAGTGTCCGCGGGAGCAGTTGCAGGGAGGCATTACATGCACGTGTTTGTCTGGATAATCATACAACTTCTCAAAGAAAACAACCGTGGGAGACCCCACAAGAAATAAATAACTGGCTCTGAGGGGCTGGAAGACACAGTTAGAAATCGTAGTTATTGCTGTATAATACCCTTTTGTGTTTTTTGAACTTTAAAACAGAAAGCACATATTCAAAAATATTCACAAAAAAATCATAGTGGGGCTGGGTGCAGTGGCTCACGCCTGTAATCCTAGCACGTTGGGAGGCTGAGGCAGATGGATTGCCTAAGCTCAAGAGTTCGAGACCAGCCTGGGCAACATGGTGAAACCCCATCTCTACTAAAATACAAAAATTTAGCCAGGCGTGGTGGCATGTGCCTGTAATCCCAGCTACTCTGGAGGCTGAGGCAGGAGAACTGCTTGAACCCAGGAGGCAGAGGTTGCAGTGAGCCGAGATCGTACAATTGCACTCCAGCCTGGGTGACAGAGCGAGACTCCATCTCAAAAAAAAAAAAAAAAAAAAAAATATATATATATATAGTGGGACTGGGGAATCACAGAACCTTGCCTCAGCCCTGCCACCTTGCTGCCCATGAGGCTTTCAGGGAGGCTGTGGGAAGGGAGGGGGACAATGTCAAAGGCACATGGAAGCTCCCCTTTTATTATTAGCTGGGTGTGTGCCCAGCTCCTCCCAAACAGAACAGGGCTGGGACTCGAGGTGGAGGCTGAGGCTTAACCCCCTCCCTGGTGCCATTGTCCTGCAGACAGCCAGAGGGAGGAGGCACCAGCCCAAGGGAGGAGGTATTAGCCCTCCAGAGTTTCGAGGACATGAGGCACGAGAGAGCTCGGTGGCATGACAGTCCAAGAGGCAGGCCTGGCCTCCTGCAAACCTGTAGCCAGGAGGTTCACCCATCCAGAGCCACCCAGGAAGGAGGCCGCCACATCCAGAGACAGGACCTGCAGCACCGTGTCCTGTGGGTGGGAGGGGGAAGGCCCACCACACACATACCTACTTTCACTGACATTCAGATGAGCAAAGCTTGGCTCGTTCTGTTCACGCTGTTTTATAGCCTGCTTTTCCCACTTACTAGCTTATCGGGAACATTTTCACATGTCAATAGCTTTTGCTCCTTGACTGCATGGTTTTTAATGACCAAAGATTTTGCTCAACCGATTCACTGTTGTTATACGTTGAGAGTTTTCATTGTCATGAACAATGCTTTGATGAAAATCAGTAGAGCTAAATTTTGGTGGCCAGCTTTAATTCTATCCTTAGAATAATATCCTAGAAGTAGCCCTCTGGATAAAGCACAGGTACTTTATAGCTTAGTATGCAGGTCACCGCATGGCCTTAAAAAATATTTGACCCAGTTTACACTGGCCAGAGGGTCAGCCTTCCAACTCCCTTCCAAACCTAGATAGCGATGTAATTTTATCTTTACCTACTTAACAATATGGAGGGGCCTGGGGGAGTGGCTTGCTATTGCTTGAATTTGCATCCTTTGATGACTAATTGGGTTGAGGCTTTTTCATGTGTTTGTTTCCCCAATTACTCATCTAACCCAAAACGCCTGTTTGTATACCTGCACACACCCAGCACCCTCCTGCACTCGCTCTTGGCTCAGGCCTGAAGATCGCTCTTTATATACCCACAGCTGTCAAAACTTACCATCCTTCAAGGTCAAATGGCCCGCTCTGACCTTCCCTCCAGGCAGTCATTCCGGACTTCCCGCAGCTCTTGGCTTGAGGCACTTGCCACTTTGGTCCTGGTTCAACACTCAGGTCTGCATGGCTGTGCCCCCGCTGTCTGCACCAGCTGTTCGCTTTACTCCGCAGGACCACGGCTTGGCCACTGCCCCCATCTAAAGACCCCATGTCAACAACGTTCCCTGGGCACCTACTATCCAGTGAGGGCTCCAGGGCACCAGGGACGAATTGGACTGTACCCCTGCCCACACGCCCCTTGGAGCTGTAGCACCAAGGACAGCCACCTCCCATGAGCCAGCTGTACTGAGCCCAGGACTGTCTGACCAGAGACCTGGGCTCGTGCCTCCTGCTGCTGTCAGCTCTCCTGGGGAAACCCAGCCTCTGGGACCAAGCAGCATCTTCCCCTGGGCTGCAAGAGAAGGTAGAACTCCCACTAGGGATTCTTCTCTGTAAGAAGCAGAGCCTGCGTGGGGAGGAGAGTGAAGCCCTGGAGAAGTCCAACAAGGGGGAAGGCAGATTCACGGGGATTTAAGTGAGTGGGAATGTTGGATTCTAATAGTGTCTGACCATGTTCAGTGACTGGCCAGCTTGGCTATCTCATGCCATGCTCTCTGGCAACTTGTGTTTTGGCAACTCTCAACCATGTGCCCATGAGAGCATGGTCCCCAAAGAGGGGATGGAGACCCCAGCAGCACTGAGAGCTGAGGTGGGGGAAACCATGGTTCTCCAGAGATGCCACTGCTGCCACAAGTGAGGGGCACGTATGCATGAGAGGCCCCCATGAGAGGAGGCAGAATGAGCTTGGGGCTTTCCTGCAACCCTGCTCAGCCCTGCTGGGCATGATTTGGCGCCCTTGAGCTTGTGGCAGCACCTTCCCTGGCAGCACCTTCCCAGGCTAGAGGTCCCAAGACACTGGGCAGCGCCAGGTCCCAGTGGCCTCTGAGACCCCAAGCCCAGCCCCAGCCTCTCCCAACACCCAAGGATGCCCCTGGTGTCATCACAAAGGTGACTCCAGAGTCGGAGTGGCCTTGGCTCCCAGCACTAGAGGAGATGACAAATTTCCGTTTTTCCTGCGGAAAACATGATCCATCCTTTCATGGGTCCCTGGGGGCCAGCAGTGCGGCACATGCCTTATGGAAGCTTTTGCCTGGGCTCATCTCCTTTCTCTACAGGCTGGCTCTGTGCCAACTCTTCTTTAAGCCCTTGAGAGACTGAGAGCATTTCATTGCCAAGGGGAAAACTCAGGGATGTTCCTGAAAAACATATTTTTCTATCAATGGCTGCTGTCCTGGTTTCTGGGCATTAATTTCTTAATTTGAGCAAGAATAAGCTCCTCCCTGCCAGGCACTGGGAGCCATGTGACAGCCACAGATATGTCCTCATGGGCCGTGGTGGTGCCGCACACCTGGAAGATCCGTGGGCCCCCAGGCCAGACCTGTGAGTCCAGAGGGTCTTCCCCGAGGACACCATGCAGATGCTGAGACCTGAAGGCTGAGGGGCTGCTGGTCAGACAATGGGCAGGGAGGAAGCCTCCTCGAGGATGGGCGGGGTGAAGGCATTGATGGGGGTGCTGATGAGGTCACCTGAGGCGGGGCCACAAAGGACCCAGGATGCCAGGCCACTGGGTCTGAATGTCATCCTGACAGCTACAGGAGACCGTGAGGGAGCACTGGTCAGGGAAGTGACATCAACAGCTCTGCATTCTGGAAGGATCATGCTGGCAGCCTGCAGGAGTCTCCTCAGCAGGAAGGAGCATTACAGCAATCCAGAGTGGCCAGGTCGGTGAAGGGCTGTGCAGATTTACATACAACATGCATTTGAGAGATGGAGTCGAGAGGACCGAGCAGTGGAATGAGCAGCTGACTGGTGGGCCAGGAGCGGGCAGCTGTCAGTGGGCACCCCACTGTGAGCACCTTGGACAGAGGGGCCGCTGGGGGAGATGAAAGGGGGGCATTGAGCATGTATGTGCACGTTGAGTCTTAGGTGCCTGCAGAATGCAGAGATGTCCAACAGGCAAGCTGAGGTCATTGGAGCAGAAGATGCATCTCAGGCCTGGCACTTAGCTACAGCTGGGCAGAGACACAGACCTGCCCACAGTGCAGAAGCAGACAATTGCCTATTACCCACATGGATACAGGACAGTGACCTCCAGAAAAACGGCTCCTAGTTTGAGGGCTGCTGGGGGTGTAGGGGAGAGAGTCTCCAGAACAGAGGAGCAGCAGAGTGTGAATTAAGTTTAACTGAAAGCTGTCTCCTTGTATATTTTAACTTTGGCCTAAAAGTTCCTCCATACAGCCAGGCGTGGTGGCTCATGCCTGTAATCCTGACACTTTGGAAAGCCAAGGTGGGTGGATCACCTGAGGTCAGGAGTTTGAAACCAGCCTGGTCAACACAGTAAAACCCTGTCTCTACTAAAAAATACAAAAATTAGCCAGGCATGGCCCGACGTGGTGGCTCACGCCTGTAATCCCAGCACTTTGGGAGGCCGAGGTGGGCAGATCACAAGGTCAGGAGATCGAGACCATCCTGTCTAACACGGTGAAACCCTGTCTTCAATAAAAATACAAAAAATTAGCCAGGCGTGGTGGCGGGCACCTGTAGTCCCAGCTACTCGGGAGGCTGAGGCAGGAGAAAGGCGTGAACCCGGGAGGCGGAGCTTGCAGTGAGCCAAGATCGCACCACTGCACTCCAGCCTGGGCGACAGAGGGAGAATCTGTCTCAAAAAAAAAAAAAAAAATTAGCCAAGCCTGGTGGCAGGCGCCTGTAATCCCAGCTATTCAGGAGGCTGAGGCAGAAGAATCGCTTGAATCCCGGAGGCGGAGGTTGCAGGGAGCTGAGATTGCACCATTGCACTCCAGCCTGGGCAACAGGAGCAAAACTCCGTCTCAAAAAAAAAATACCAAGTTCCGCCATACATAGTGAACTGTCCCCAAACTGGGTGTGGGACAGACTGTAACCTACTCTTGTACCAATCCCTGAGCTGCAGCCTAAGGCAGACAACCGTTCAAACCCTGTTCAAATAAGGCAAACGTCAAGTTGTAAGGAATCCAGCTGCTTCTGTACCTCACTTCTCTTTTCTGTGCATCACGTTCCTACTTCTGTTCATAAATCTCCAGTGAAGTGGCAGAGCTGGAGCCACTCTGAACTTACTCTGATTGGGGGCCGCCCAATCCGAAAATCGTTCTTTGCTCAGTTAAACTCTGCTAAATTTAATTTGTGTAAGTTTGTCTTTTAAGAAGGCATAGAGGTCTCTCGGAGAGGCTGCCGGTGCATCTGCCCACCCAAGGAGAGCTGGGGTGGGATGGAGAGGAAGAGAGCACAGCTGGAGAGGGCGGGGCCAGCTCGCATCTTATATCAGGAACACCTGTGTCCAAAAGTGTTATTTTCCTTCCTTATCCAATACTGAACACACAGTAGCTTAGAAATATTGCACACCTGCCAATTAAAGGCAACCTCCATCATTGAATGTTCACCTGGAGGACGAGGTCAGGCAAGGACAGTCCAGGGAAATGAGGAAGGGGGAAATCTTACACGTAAACAATCTGTAGTTTGCAAGTGCTGATTTTCAAAGTACCCAAAACACTTGGGAGAAGCAATGGAAGGAATCCACCCTATCAGATATTAAAACGTTATACAACCTTAATATCAAGACAGAGTGTCACCACGCAGAGACAATCCACAGACCAACAGGGATGACAGAGATCCGCATACATGCAGGAAGTTAGTCAATGATAAATGCAGCATCTCAACCAGTGAAGTAAAGATGAATGTGTTAATAAATGATGTCAGGATAAATTGGCAGCTTTCTGGGAAAAGATCAGGTAAGATCCATACTTCACACCATACATCCGGATAATTTCTAAATGGAGCAAAAGTTTAAATGTATAAATGAAACCATGAATGTACGGGAAAAAATATGGGTGGATTCCTTTACAAGGTGAAGGAAGGAAGACTTTTTGCAATATAGCTCAAAATGTAGCCACCATAAAAGATTGATAGACTACACAAAAATTGGAAACTTCTGCAGGGCAAAAGCCACGGTAAGCAAAGTCAAATGACAACTGAGAAAAAAAAAATATTTGCAACCCAGATCACTGTCAGAGGGATAAATCTCTAATATGTAAAAAGCTCTTAGAATCTAATAAGAAAAACGTCAATGACTCAATAGGAAAAAATGAATACATAGTGAAATACAAATGGCCTCAGACATAAGCAAAGATACCCAATTCACTCAAAAGAGTGATTAGCCCCGCAGTGGCTCCTCACTGTGAGCTTGGCAGAAATGCAAACCTGACAGCACCCTTGGGAGGTGAAACTTTGTGGGGAGAGCAGCATCCAAGTGGCAGGCACTTTGGTAATGACTATCAAAAAGCTGTGCGTGCATTTACCCTTTGACCCAGCAATTCCCTTCTGGAAATGAATCCTTTGGATATACCTCCATGAGTAAGAGCAATAGTTTGGAAACTAAGTGAAGCCACAGGAGACTTATTTTCACAACAAATGTATATGGAACAGCATGCATGGAAAGATCTGGAAACCCATTAGCCATCTTCCCATTGCCTATCCAGATTCCAGATCGTCCCCCCTGTTCACGACCCCTGGAGGCTGTGGTAGGACTGTGACAATGGGCCCCTTGCCCTCTGACTTCCAGCTGGGCTCAGCCAGTGGGGAGAGAGGCAGTAGAGTTCATTCCCTCCCTGCAAGAGCCCTTCAGGCTGGCTGCATCCTAGACCGAAGGTCACAATTCCTGCCAGGCCTAAGGTGATAAGGACAAGAGTCTTGTGCTACTCACACCCTATAAAGAGTCTTCTAGAAAATGCTCCTCGAATTGCCCAATTTGGGTGAGCCGTCTGTTTCCTAGTGGGCCCCTGGCTGATGCCACGGCCATTTATAAAAGGATGAGCACACACTCCAGGCATCAATCTGGAAAGATTTCCAGGTACATTCTTGAGTACGAGTATATAGTAGTTACCTTTATGGGAGCAAGGTGGAGGGAGAGGGAGAGCAGGTAGCTGCATCTGCTTGTATTTGCATAAAGAAGTGCAGGAAGGACCCACAGGAGGGTGATAAGGTGATTGTCAGTCATCGGGGGCTCGGTGGGGGATGGGGCAGGTGAAGAGGGCATGCAGGACTTTTCTCTCTGTGTTTTATTTGCAAGCCTCCTCCTTTCCCCCGCTCAGCTTCATGGAACTCAGGAAACAACTTAATAGACTTGGGGCTCCGTGAGCGCCAGTCCTTCCCGGGCACCTAACCTGGAGCGAGGCTGGATGCTACAGCCTGAATGTGTGTGACCCCCAAACTTCACAGGTTGCAACCTAATCCCCAATGGGATGGTGTTAGGAGTGGGGCCTTTGGGAGGTGATTGGGTGACGTGGGCAGAGCCCTCATACATGGGATTAATGCCCTTATCAAAGAGACCCCAGAGAGTCAACCAGCCCCATCCACTACTTCCAGGCACAGCAAAAAGATGTCCTCTTTGAACCAGGAAACAAGCCCTCACTAGGCTCCCAGTCTGCTCACAGACCGTCGCAGCCTCCAGAACTGTGAGAGCGAAGTTTCTGTTGTGTATAAACCACCCAGTGTTCGGTGTGAGAGCGAAGTTTCTGCTGTGTATAAACCATCCAGTGTTCGGTGTTTTGTCGCAGCAGGCCTGAGCAGGCGGAGGCCCTGGTTCTCTCCTCTGTCAGCAGCCCGTGCCCTCGGCCCTGAGATCAGCGACTCTCACGGGGGAGGCAGAAAGGACTCAGCAGCTCCAAGCAGGAGCAGAGCAGGGAAGCTCGCTGGGCACCTGCAGGCCACTCCCAGGCACTCGGACATCTCCCTAAGCTCAAATTCACGGAGTCTTCTAATAGTAATTAGTTTCAGGGAAAATAAAAATCAGTGAGTCTCTGAGCCTCTTTGGGACCCCGAGAAGGAAGAAGCTTCAGAAAACCCCATGGTTGCCTCTGGGCCCCTCCCAGGGCCTCTGCAGCAAGCTCCGCACGCCAGTCCTGGTCTCCTTTCCTCCCCCGGTCCCGCGACCCCGTGTTGAACCTGGCTCCCGGGACCCCGTTCCCCAGTCCATCAGAGTGAAGGCTGTGAAGCTCCTCTTGGGATTCCCGCATTTAACTCAGCGGGGCTGTCCTAAGCTGAGCGCTGGTTCTGAGGCCGCCTCCAAATCCGCCTCCGTGTGTCCCCATGGTGTGGCCACAGGCAGGGCCTCCCTGACCTCAGGGACCTCATCTGCAAACCCCAGAGCTCCCAGCTCCGGCTTCTGGGGGTTGCCAGATGACGGCAGGCGAGACCCCTCACACAGCACCTGCCACACACAACAAAAGCTCGCCATGGAGAGGGCGAGGCGCCAAGAGGGACCCCAGGCGAGGGCCAGCCTGAGCGGCATCCGCAGTTTCCTGCCTGCACCTCCCAGCTCCTCCTGGGACCTGCAGAGCACAGCGCCTTGTGTAGTCTCGGCCCCAGGCCAAGGCTGCGCACTTTACAGCCTTCAGCTCACCGAGGTGCTGCACCAGCTCCGAGGTCAGTATCGCCATCGCAGGCCGGGCGCGGGGGCTCACGCCTGTAATCCCAGCACGTTGGGAGGCCGAGGCGGGCAGATCACGAGGTCAGGAGATCGAGACCATCCTGGCTGACACGGTGAAACCCCACCTCTACTAAAAATACAAAAAAAATTATCCGGGCGTGGTGGCGGGCGCCTGTAGTCCCAGCTACTCGGGAGGCTGAGGCAGGAGAATGGCATGAACCCGGGAGGCGGAGCTTGTAGTGAGCCGAGATCGCGCCACTGCACTCCAGCCTGAGTGACAGAGCGAGACTCCGTCTCAAAAAAAAAAAAAAGAAAAGAAAAAAGAAAATCGCCATCGCAATTGGCAGATGGAAGAGTAGAGGCTCAGAGTGCCCAGGCCTACCTCCCTGGCTACAGCAGGTGGTCTGGACAGAGCTTCAGACTCATATCCACGCACCCCTCGGCCTGCAGCTCAGTGCGCCTGGCCTCCCTGGATCCCAAAGAGCCTTCCTGGAATGAGCCCCCCACACCGGGAACCAGTTCTCAGATTCTGACTATCCTGGAACCCTGGCCCACCAGGGCCCTGTCCCACACCCGCCTGCCGCATGAGGAGCTCTTCCTAGCAGCTTAGGGTAGCCCGGCCCCACCCAGAAGGACGAGGAAAGGGCCGCTGCTCTTCCTCGCTTCCCTCCGAAGCTGCCACTGTGGCTTCTGGGCACACCTCCGATTGAGGAGGCTCCTGCCCTTGCTGCCCAAGCTGCCAAGTCCAGGGGCTTCGTTGCCACTGGCCGGCCCCATGCTCTCCCTGACAGCCCACCTGTGTGTCCCCAGGGGCAGCCCCTTTCAGCCGGTGGGGATGACAGAGGGCAGCCCAGGCAGGGCTCAAGGAAGGAGCCACTCCGGCTAACAAGGAGAGGGGACCCTGCCCAGTGTCCCAGATAAGATGGAGGCATGGGCTGGGTCCTAGGAGGCTGCAGGATGGGTGGAGACCATCAGGGCTGGGAGGAGCCCTGGGTATCGCTCATCAGAGCAGGACCCACTGGCGACCACATCCAGGCCCTGCCAAGCAAGCTGGGGCACAGGGCAAACCACGAGGCTCTGGAAACGCAAGGGACGGACAGTGCAGCTCACACCCCAGGCAGCTGCACTGGCAGCTGGGCCAGGGTCTGGGGTACCACAGGCCTGCAAGGGAAGAGACATGGGGCTACTGCCTCATTCATGCTGCGACTGTTCTCTGCCCTTCCCAGAGCTTCAGGGCTTAGACATGGAGCTGGGATAAGGCTCCCAGAGAAAGGCAGCTCCTGATCAAAGGGGGCCAGCGGCTCACTTCCCTTCCTGTGCTCGGGACCCCCAGGCTCTCAGAAGAAAGGGAAGAATGGGTTTGTTTGTTGTTTTCTGCTTAATTCTTCTTCCTGGTGACAGGCAGGGGATTTGAGATCATTTCCATTTTCTTCATGTAAACGAATTGCTAAGAGTAATTTAAGTGCTCAGTGGAGGTGAGCATAGCAGAGATGGTGACAGCATGCTACCTGGGACAGGGGCCAGCCACACAGGCTGTCCACAGGGGAGCATCGCTCACCACCCAACCATGAGGCTGTCCACACTGGGAGCGCCATCCAACACTTCATATACACAGGCTGTCCACACTGGAAGTACTGTCCCCTGCCTCATCTATACAGGCTGTCCACCATGGGAGCGTCATCCAACACCCCATCTACACGGGCTGTCCACACTGGGAGCACCATCCAACACCCCATCTACACAGGCTGTCCACACTGGGAGCGCCATCCAACACTTCATATACACAGGCTGTCCACACTGGAAGTACTGTCCCCTGCCTCATCTATACAGGCTGTCCACCATGGGAGCGTCATCCAACACCCCATCTACACGGGCTGTCCACACTGGGAGCACCATCCAACACCCCATCTACACAGGCTGTCCACACTGGGAGCACCACCCAACACCCCATCTACACAGGCTGTCCACACTGGGAGCGCCACCCAACACCCCATCTACACAGGCTGTCCACACTGGGAGCGCCACCCAACACCCCATCTACACAGGCTGTCCACACTGGGAGCGCCTCTGTGGCCCTGGTTGTTTGCCCTCTGCCTGGCAGGGGCTCTATGGACACAGCCGTTCTGAAAGGTTTTGGGACCAGGCCTTGGAAGCCACCTCTCTGCCTCATTCCCACCTCAGGGTGGGCCTGTCAGTGAGGATTTACTCCTGAAGGTTTGAGCCGTGCGTGAATGAAGACCTCTGCTTGGTCAGTCCTTTGAAAGCCTCTGCATGGGGGTCAGTGGGCTCCTCAGCCACTCAGGAGCTGCTGTGATATCCCAGCTGCTCTCCGGGCCCTAACCCAGCTGGGAACTCTCAGAAACATGCACCCTCTCGCCTGCAGGAATGAGGTCGGCCGGGCCAGGGAGGCTGCTAGGGCAGGGGTCTCCAGGCAGGAGCTCATCCAAGGCTGGAGGGAAGGGCTGGCAGAAGACAGAAAGAGCAGGTTCCATGGGCTGAGATGGGCAGGAGGGTAGGTGGGGAGGCCGAAGCCACAGGCGATGGGGCAGATAGGTGGGCACAAGGCTGCCCCGTGGAGCTCTGGCCGTGGCACCTCACAGCCCAAGCCCAGCACAGCTCTCTGCAGAGGTGACCGCATTGCCAGCATGGAACCTGTTCCTACAGACACTTGTCCACGAGTTTACACGCACGGAGACCACTGCTGCAAGAAGCCTCATACACGTGTCCACGGGAAAGGACAACTGTCTGCTGAGCACCTGCTGGGTGCTGGGCATCTGAGCCTCCTCCATACACAGCATCAAAGAGCAGGAGCGGTTTTGATTTTAGTAAACTGTTGCCCCCAAAGTGTCTTTGGCTGAACTAGGGCTATCATGATAAACTACCGCAGATGGGGCCTGAACAACAGAAATGTGTTCCCTCACAGTCCTGGGGGCTGGAGCTCCGAGATCAAGGCATGGGCAGGGCTGGTTCTCCTGAGGCCTATCTCCTTGGCTTGCAGACGCTGCCTCTACCTGTGTCCTCCAGTGGCCGCCCATGTGTGTGTCTGTGTCCTCATCTCCTCTGTAAGGACAACAGTCCTATTGGATTAGGGCCCACCCATAGGGCCTATTTTACCTTCTCTATGTCTTTACAGGCCCTATCTCCAAATACACCCACGTTCTGAGGCACCAGGGGTTTGGACTTCAACCTATGAATTTGGGGGTCACAATTCAGCCCATAGCAGTGCCTGTGCTCATCTATGCCCTGCACCAATTAAGAATCCATTTGGTAATGAGTAGCAGGAATGGAAAATAAACAAGACAGAGGTGGATGCCTCTCCTACATCACAGACCATAGCTGGGCAGGCTGATGTCGCTCAGCACTTCTGCTCCCCAACATCCCCAGGAACCCGGCCTAGTGGCTCCATCATGCCTGGCCTCCATTCCCCAGGTCACCTGGCTGATGCTGTGGCTCCAGCCATCACAGCTACATTCCCACCATTGGGAAAGAGGAAGGGGCAGAGAAGAAGGGGCAAAGAGCATGCACCAGCCATCTGTTAAGGAAGTTCCAGAAATCCCCCTTCCATACTTGTATTTCATGTCATTGGACCTAGTCACATGGCCATACCTAGCTGCAAAGCACATTGCGAAATGCAGCCTTTATTCTGGAAGGGCCTGTGCCCTGCTAAAAATGTGGGTGTAGTTATGGTGAAAGAGAGACGTGGGTGATGGGAGTGTGTCTGAGTCTCCGTCATAGCTCTTGCTGACATTGATTACCACTTCATTCATGTTAACCCAAGATGCTGTCTCGCTGTTTTTTTTTCTTTTCTTTTCTTTCTTTCTTTTTTTTTTTTTTTTTTTTTTTGAGACGGAGTCTCGCTCTGTCACCCATGCTGCAATGCAGTGGTGAGATCTCAGCTCACTGCAGGCTCAGCCTCCCAGGTTCACGCCATTCTCCTGCCTCAGCCTCCCGAGTAGCTGGGACTACAGGCGCCCGCCACCATGCCCGGCTAATTTTTTGCATTTTTAGTTGAGACAGGGTTTCACCATGTTAGCCAGGATGGTCTTGATCTCCTGACCTTGTGATCTGCCCGCCTCGGCCTCCCAAAGTGCTGGGATTACAGGTGTGAGCCGCCACGCCCAGACTTGCTGTTGTTTTAATGAACATTTCCTCAGTTATTAGTGACCTTGGCCATCATTTCATCGTTCCTGTCTATTTGTGGTTTCCCTTCTTGGAATTTCCTGAATTTCTTCTTTTTGGAATTCCCACATTTTCTTTTGGATTGGTTTGTCTTTCAATGGTTTATTTGCAAGATGCTTACATATTCTAGTATTCATCTTTTCTCTTTTTTATAGGTTGCAAATAGTTTCACGTTGTCTATCATTTTCTTGTTGCTTATGGCATCTTTTGTCATAAGGAGAATTTTCAGGTCCATATTAAAAATTGTATGAACTCTCTTTTCTGGTTTATTTTTAGGTTGAATATTCTTTAAAGCATCGTGTACTCAAATGCTATGACCATATTCTATATTCTGTCAGTACTCTGATTCTTTTGTTTCTTATGTCTCAATCTTTGATCAATGAAGAATTTATCTTCTGAAAGCCGTGAGGAGGTACCTCGGTTTCTATTATCCGGAGAACATGGTACACCAGCCTTGGCCTGTTTGCACCCGGCCCTTCCCTTGCTCAGCCACGGCCTGTAGGGAGCAGCCCCCTGCAGGTCAAGTTCCCCACCTCCAGGCTGTGTCCAGCTGGGCTCAGTCCATGGAAGGCACCAGCAAGAGACTGGAGGGCAAGGGCAGGGGGAGCCAGGTGTTTCCACTCCTCGTGCCCTGCCCAGGTTGCTCTAGCTCCCCAGGGGGAGCACCCCTGCACTCCCACCCTCTGCCAGTAGCCCCCGCCCCCTCATCCCTCCAGCCTCTGCTGGGACTGCTGTGTCTCTGGACCCTGTTGGCATCTCAACTCTCCCATCTCCTGTGTAACCAGTTCCCTGTGTTCAATTCCTCCTATTTTCAGTATTCCTTTCCTGTGTGTGCCCTGACTAACACAAATAGCAATAATCATATCCTGTTTATTTTTCATTTTAAGAAAAAGAAAAAGAAAAAAAAAAGCTCTTCCCACCAATTGGAGATGCCACTTCCACCTTGCAGTAAATTCCCATAAATGCAGAGATGTGTCCCGGCCTCTCTCCTGGCTCACTGTCCATTCTGTGTCTTGTACCAACAGCACGCTAGTCCAAGCCTAAGGATTCCAGCATCTCAGAGGCACCTGGTAGTGCCCGTTGGCTGCTACTCCCCACATAACGGTGAGGTGAGTAGCTGCTGCTGTTCCTGTAAAGCATGTTCCACTCTTCTTGCCCATGTTTTCCTCTATGTGAATTCTGGGATCAGTTTGATGAGCTTCATGAAACATCTTTCCTAGGAAGATTTTTTTTTTTTTTTTGAGACAGAGTCTCGCTCTGTCTCCCAGGCTGGAGTGCAGCGGCGCGATCTCCACTCACTGCAAGCTCCACCTCCCAGGTTCACGCCATTCTCCTGCCTCAGCCTCCCGAGTAGCTGGGACTACAGGTGCCCGCCACCACACCCAGCTAATTTTTTGTATTTTTTAGCAGAGACGGGGTTTCACTGTGTTAGCCAGGATGGTCTTGATCTGACCTCGTGATCTGCCAGCCTTGGCCTCCCAAAGTGCTGGGTTTACAGGCATGAGCCACCGCACCCAGCCCCTGGGAAGATTTTAATTGAGATTTTATTGAATTTATATGAATTCAGGAAGGAAGTCTTTGCGATATTAGCTATTTGCTTCCTGCATGTGCTACTTCTTTTTTTTTTTTTTTTTTTGAGACGAGTCTTGCTCTGTTGCCCAGGCTGGAGTACAGTGGCATGATCTCGGCTCACTGCAACCTCCACCTCCCGGGTTCAAGCAATTCTCTGCCTCAGCCTCCCGAGTGGCTGGGATTACAGGCGCCCACCACCATGCCTGGCTAATTTTTTTGTATTTTTAGTAGAGACAGGGTTTCACCATCTTGGCCAGGCTGGTCTTGAACTCCTGACCTTGTGATCCACCTGCCTCGGCCTCCCAAAGTGCTAGGATTACAGGCGTGAGCCACCGCACCCGGCTGCATGTGCTATTTCTTACCATCACTTCAGATTTTCTTTTATATTCTCTAGTAAGGTTTTTATGATTTTCCACAGTGGGATCCTCCCATTTTATGTTAGATTCATTCCGAGGCATTGCCTGGATTCTGTGGCTATTGTGACTGACATCTCGTTTCTGTTGTGCTTTTAATTAGTTAATGCTGTGGTTAGGAACGCTACTGGCTTTTTATGTTGATCTTATATTTCACCATTTTGCTCAACTCTCAAACAATATTAATTTCACAGGTGATTGAATCAATGATAGCTTTTCTTCTCTTCCTTTGCAATTTTAATTTTTTCATGGCCAACTCCACTTTTTAGCTAGAAGTGATAACAAAGAACTTATCCTGAGTGACTATCAGGAATGAGTCTAATTATTTCACCATTAAATATAACATTTGTTTGAGATTTCCAGCAGACACCCTTTATTAAGTTGAGGAAATTTGATCTTATTCTATTTTCTTTTTTTCTTTTTTTTTTTTTTTGAGACGGAGTCTCGCTCTGTCACTGAGGCGGGATTGCAGTGGCATGATCTCGGCTCACTGCAAGCTCCGCCTCCCGGGTTCACGCCATTCTCCTGCCTCAGCCTCCCGAGTAGCTGGGACTACAGGCGCCCGCCACCACGCCCGGCTAATTTTTTGTATTTTTTAGTAGAGACGGGGTTTCACCGTGTTAGCCAGGATGATCTCGATCTCTTGACCTCGTGATCCGCCGGCCTCGGCCTCCCAAAGTGCTGGGATTACAGGCGTGAGCCACCGCACCCTGCCAAGTTGATCAAATTTTTAAAGCATCCAATAAAGAGGATAGACAAAGCCAAAAGATAGTTCTTTAAAAAGCAAAAGAAAATGAGGAAACCCTGCTGAGCACTTGAGCAGAAAAACAGTAGAGATGGGGCAAGAAGATACCGTCAGAAATGTTTGGGAGAGCTCACTATAGGTCTTACAGGCATTCAAAAAATAAGAGGACAAAATATCAAACAGAAAGTTACCAGATAACCCCGCATTGAAATCGCACGTCCACACAGAAACGTACCCAAATGTTCACAGCAATATTGTTCGCACACGCCAAAAAGGGGAAACAACTCAAGTGCCCACCAACTGATGAACATAGAAACCAAATGTGGTCCCTCTCTGCAATGGAGTATCATTCACTCTTGAAAGTAACTGAAGTGCTGCCGCACACTCCAGCAGGATGGATCTCAAACACACGGTGCTGAGTGGCTGCAGTTTCTCCCGGAAGGTCCCATGTTGTATGTGGGATGACTTCTTTTTATGAAATGTCCAGAGCAGGCAAATCTAGAGACAGGAAATACATCAGTGTTTGCTCAGGGATGGGGCAGGGCAAGGGGTGGGTGACTGCTGATAGGTCCAGAGATTCTTTGGTGGGGGGATGACAATGTTCTGGAATTAGACTGTAGTGGTGGTTGCCCAGTATTGTGAATATACGTAATCCACTGAATTGTATGCTTTAAAATAGTGAACTTTGTGTCATATGAATTTTGTCTCAAAAACAATTTTGCAAAGAAACAAAAAAAAAGATAAGAGATGATTATGAACAAGTAAGTTTGTGCCAATGCATGTGAGGCCCAGGCCCCAGGTCCCGTCTGCAGCTCCCAGCACATCGTCTTCCGTCCCTTCCTTCTGCCGCCTCTCTGAGGGTGAGGGTATGATGCAGGGCTGTTGACCTGGGGCCTGAGTTCCCTTCACCTGGGTTCACCCCCCAGCCCGGACTCAATTAGAATCTTCGCTTCCATTACAAATTCCTAGAAGAAGGCATCTGCTTGGCCACGCTAGGGTCAGTTATCCACCCCAGCCAGATGAATGTGGCCGAGGCGACAGGACCACGTGGCCTGAACTTGGCTGCTGTGGCCCATGCCTGGGAGGGGTGGGGAGCAGCTCCTAGAGGAAAGGAGCTGAACACTTGAGGGTGGAGCCCTTGAGGCCTAATCATCTTGTAAAGGCCCCACCTCTCAACACTTTGACAATGGCAATTGGATTTCAGCCTGAGCTGTGGGGGGGACAAACATTCAAACCACAGTCCCAGGCCAATGAGCTGGGACCTTGCCCAAGAGAAATACGTAGGTACCTCCGGAAGGATCTGGACAGGAGAGAACTGTGGCTGGGGTTTTCTCCCCCACAGTCTGGGGCTGTGGGAACGTGGCCTGGGTGGGAGATGACAGGAGCAGAGTCCAGGGGTCCAGGCACAGGACTAGGGAGAGTGCTGGAAGCCGAAGTGTCAGGGACCAGGATGCAGGACTGTGCAGGTGCTGGAGCTCTACCTGCCCGGAAACTGTCCCAAGCGGGGTCCTGGGTGCTGCATACTCAGGGCGGGCTCTGCTTTAAAGTAGAGAGTGTGGGGCAGCCCCTGCTCGGCAGCCATGGCGGCAGTTCTTGGCCAGCACGTCGCAGACACCACTCACCCAGGCGCCCTCCTGCTGCCGTGCGTTATTAAATTATTCCCGGGGAGATTAGAGGAGAGGCATGAATAATTCAAACAAGGGATAAAATCAAATCTAATCAAGTCTGTCTGCCTGCTTGAACTTTGACATGACGACCACAGCGGATGAGTGAAGCTGTCCAGAGCCAGAAACGAGAATTCAGCTTCAGGATTTGCACTCAGACGTTTCTAAGGACACTCCGAGGTGAAGGAAGTGGCAGGTCGGGGCTGCTGCGGTGACTCCCACCTCCCCAGCTAGGGCCTCGTTGGTCCTTGCTGCAGAGGCTAGGCCCCAGCACTGTCCAGCCATGTGACCCTGGGAAGGTGCTAACCATGCCCGGCCTCAACTTCCTAGTCTATAAAATGGGAACAAAACTACAATGTGCCTCAGGAAGTTGTTTTGCACACTCAGCAAAATAACATACAAAAGGCGTTTCATGCCAGTACCGGGGAGGCAGGGAATAGAGGGTGGGTGCCTGCATCCTTCCATCCTTAATAAAAATGCTTGGGCAGAGTAAAGATGAGCCTTTCCCGTCAGCTCAACATGGCTAATTTTCCTGGCTGAAATGTCCATATATGTGTGCATTTATGCAATGGCAGACACATGTCTTTCTCATGAAAGAGCTACATGGGCATTTAAAGTTCAGGAGAATGGAGCTTGCTTTTTTCTCCATAAAATGTCCAGTTTTATGGTTTCAGTAAGCAATGGAGAAATAAGGCATCATCAGCAGGGTGACTTTGGCAAAGGCGGCTGGCGGTGGCTTCCAGCCCCACCTGCTCAGGCAGCCTCTATGGCCCCTGCACGCTGCCCCCAGGGCCAGGAGCAAGGTTCTACCTTCGCCACTCTGCCTCCCAAGGCCTCCCCACCAGCCCACGGTCTGACATCTGGACTGTTGCCATAGGCCCCCGTTTTGGCTGCTGGCTAACAGGACAGCGACCACCCACCAAGACAGACATCCACTCTCTGTGGCCACGCCCTGCTTTCTCTGCAGCTCGGGGCCAGGAGCACTGTGACTCCTCAAGGCAGGATGAAGGCTGCCGCTGTGCCTGTGAGCTCTCATGTCCCACCGCTCTGCCCGAGCCATGGTCTCAGGGCACTGCCTGGAGCTCCTTTCACAGAAAGGGTCAGATGCCCAAGGGGGCCCGTAGGGCAGCAGCGGGTGGGTGAAGCCAGCTAAGCAGGGCCTTCCAGCACACAAGGATGTCGGCCCCAGGGCGGGCATCTTCAGAGAGACCCAGAGCATCGAGGCTGGGGTGTGGAGCTGCCGGTGCGCCACCGTGGGTGGTGTCAAGCAGAATGCATCTTGCCGCGAGATCTGGCATCTGCACTGCCTGCTTCTCCTGCCGCAGGCTGCCACCTCCCTGACACAGGGACCCAGCCCAGCCGGTGTTCTCACATGAGCCTGGGGGTGGGGGGCGGCTGTTGTCTGCCCCTCCAGGACACATGTGCCTAGGCCTGAGCCCCTGCTTGGCTCCTGCCGCACCCTGTGGGCTCAACTCCGCACAGGGCAGCTGTTCTTCTTGACATTTTCCAGATAAGTGGATGTTTTTATTCTGGAATTTGGGAGCGACCTTTATCTGCTGTCTGGAAGGAAGCATCTGTCACCAGTGTAAAGCCTCCCAGTCTCCCAGGGCTCCACTCGGTGGCCCCCGCATGCTGGAACCAGTCCTCCCAGACACCACGGTTGGGGGCAGGGCCGGCCCTGGGGTCAGGCAACAACCAGAGCCGTCAGCTACTCTGGGACGCAGCCCAGGCCGGGAGGAGGCAGATGCAGGCACCACGGGACCTGGGTGACCGGCCTCTGTTCACTCCTCCCATCCCTTGGTGCCCGGCACACAGAGGGGCTGAGGAGCGTGGAGAAGGGAGGGGCAGGGAGCAGCCGGGGCAGGGGCCTCCCGGCTGGGCCTGAGGAGGAGCAAAGCCTGCCTGGGACCCCCAGGACCCCCAGGATCCCTCTTCACTGCCAGCCTGGCCATGGAGAGGGGCCCAGTCTCCCCTGGAGCACACGGTCGCCCGACGGCTGGTCACAATCGGGTAGGCAGCGTGTCCTCCCTCTCCAGTCCTCAACTACAGAGGGAGGACTCAAAGTGGGACAGGCAGACAATCATCCGCCCAGGGACTGTGCTGGAAAGGAGGGTGTGGTCTCAAGGAGGGAGGCCTGGGCGCTGAGGCATTTCCAGGTAGGAAGCAGACAAGCTCCTGGGTGGGTGGAAGAGGCCTCCCCTAGGGCATGTGGACCCCGGGCAAATACATTCTAAGGCGGGAGTCCTCGTTTCTATAAACTATCAGGTTTTCCTAAAATCAACAAGACAGCACCATGCTGGCCGCCCAACCTCACGTGATCCAACTAAAGGAAGCCCACACAGGCTAGCAGGGAACCATCTGTTCCTAGGCCCCCTTTCCAGGACTGGACCCCAGCCACACAGTCCTCACAACCACCATCAGCCTGAGTTCCAAAGCTCCTTCAGACATGCAACCAACTTTCCACACTGGGCATGGGGCCACACAGTGCTCCGTGGAGAGGAACAGGGGCCACCAGGCCCCACATGGTTCCCCACTCAGGCTTGGGGAGCTACCCCTCGGCACCTTTGGCAGTGCTGACTGGTCTCAGGCACTGGAGGGGGTCTTGGAATTTCTGAGAACGGTATTCCAAACTCGGGGGCCCAGGATCCCAGGGCAGGGCACCCACCACCCAGGTCTAAAGCAATACTGACTACAAAGACCCCAGGTGACAGGACCGAGGGCATCCCAACCCTTCCCTCCCAAGAGCCAGGGCTGAGCCAGACACAAGGGACAGAGGAAGGGCTGGCCTGGGATGAAAGGGACACTCAAGGGGGCAGCTCCCTGGAGCCTGGACTAGCCACCCAGGCTCAATCTGCAGGCAGCATCACCCCACACACCCCAGATTCCAGGTGGTGCAAAGCTCAGATGCTGCCACCACCTGTTCCCCGTGCCCAGGCCACCCCACTCCAGGCCAGGGTGGGAGCCAGGCCGGCCTCCTTTGCCAACCTCTGGGCCCAGGCAGACTCCTTCTCTCCGAGACTCTGCTCAGAAACACCAGAGGCTTTCTGAGCCTATCCAAGACCAGATGGCGTTCATCTCTCAGTGTCAATAAATCGGACGTCTCCAGGGAAATGACTTTTACTTGGTAAATACCAAGCAAGAAGAGACGGCGGCGCGAGCCCCCAGTCTAGGAGAACCGCAGCCAGCAGGCAGCCACCTATTGATTTCATCTCCCTCCAAGGCCAGGGTGCTGCAGGGAGGAGCAGCTTTTCCTCCGACACGACTGCGCCCGCAGGGACAGGAGGAGCAGCCGTGCTTCTCTCCAGCTGCATGAGGCGGTCTTGCAGGGGAGAGACAGCCCTCCCAGAAGGGACCTCGGTAGGGCTAACGGCAGCTGGCACAAAAATCCACCACCAAAGGTAGAAGGAGCTGCGCCAGGCTGTTGGCAGTGGGAGGGGAGAGAGTCCTGGAGACAAGGAGGGGACCAAAGGGAAGGCAGCAATCCAGATGGTCCTGCGGGGTCGGACAGGGCTAAGACAGGAGGCTGTGCTGGCTGTTCTCATGCTGCTGTAAAGAATCACCTGGAACTCGGTCATTTATAAGAAGGAGCATTTTAATTCCCTCATGGTTCTGCAGGCTGTACAGGAAGCATGGTACTGGCATCTGCTTCTGGGGAGGCCTCAGGAAACTTCCAGTCATGGCGGGAGGTGAAGGGGGAGCAGGCACATCACACGGCAAAAGCAGGAGTGAGAAAGAAGGGGACGGGCGCCACACTTTACAACAACCAGGTCTACCAAGAACTCACTATGGCGAGGACAGCACCAAGCCATGAGGAATCTGCCCCATGACCCAAACACCCCCCACCTCCAACACTGAAGACTCCATTTCAGCCTGAGATGTGGGCAGGGACAAATATCCAAACCATATCACAGGCGCCAGGGCCCCTTGCCCACGGGTGGCCGTGAGGGTGGCTGCACTGTTCTCTGCCCCACTTGCCTTTCTTTAGGATCGCCCCCCGCTTCCCCAGCCCCACCATTCCATAAAGATTCCACTCAGAACTTTGAGCTGGGGTGGGACTGAACCCACCTCCCTGGCCTCCAGGCTGGGCTTATGTTTCCAGCTTGGCCCATCTCTGTAGTCCGTTCCCTGATGTTAGGTCCTCCCCACTCCTGTCACCACCGTGAGTGGCACGTGACCCAAGCTCCGCCAAGCCCTAGGCATTCCCAGCCCATGGGAAACAGAAGTGTTTCCCTCCACTAGACACCTCATCCCATGATCTGCTGGGTCTGGGGTTGGGAGTAGTCCTGTGTCTGTGGGCGGAGGAAAGAATGAGAGTCACAGGGCCTTCCTCTCTAGGACACAGGGGGTTCACTTCAAAAACACTCTAAATTGAGCCAGGCGTGGTGACTCATTCCTTTAATCCCAGCACTTCAGGCTCATTCCTGTAACCCCAGGTTGAGGTGGGAGGATAGCTTGAGGCCACAGTGGGAGACCAGCCTGGGAAACATAGTGAGACCTTGTCTCTATAAAATAAATTTTTTGGGCCTGGCACGGTGGATCATGCCTGTAATCCCAGCACTTTTGGCGGCCAAGGCAAGCAGATCACGAGGTCAGGAGATCGAGACCATCCTGGCTAACACGGTGAAACCCCGTCTCTACTAAAAATACAAAAAATTAGCCGGGCGTGGTGGCGGGCGCCTGTAGTCCCAGCTACTCGGGAGACTGAGGCAGGAGAATGGCGTGAATCCAGGAGGCGGAGCTTGCAGTGAGCTGAGATCGCGCCACTGCACTCCAGCCTGTGCGACAGTTGCAGACTCCATCTCAAAAAATAAAAATAAAAATAAATAAATAAATAAATTTTTAAATTAGCTGGGGTGTTGGCACATGCCTATGGCCCTAGCTATGCAGGAAGCTGAGATGGGAGTATCACACACACTCAGGAGCTCTAGGCTATAGACGGTGAGACCCTGTGACAAATAAAAAAAGAAAAACACCGCCTAAGTCAAGCCTTGTTGCAGAGTAAGATGCATTCTGCATTCTCCCATCAGCAGCTCCATATGGGAAGTTAATATGCCTCCTAGTCACGTGACTCTGATGTTCTTCCTGGTGAATGAATAACAACGTTGCTCCTTTGGCTAATGGGGAAGACACTCGCCCCTTCCCCTACTGTGTCACATGGCGATACTTCCTTCCCAAAACTCTCAATGAAAGGTGCCAGGGCACAGATGCACAGATACTTTCTCACGCCCTGCATTTCTTTTTTTTTTTTTACTTTGAGACGGAGTCTCGCTCTGTCGCCCAGGCTGGAGTGCGGTGGCGCAATCTCGGCTCACTGCAAGCTCCGCCTCCCGGGTTCACGCCATTCTTCTGCCCCAGCCTCCGGAGCAGCTGGGACTACAGGTGCCCGCCACCACGTCCAGCTAATTTTTTTATATTTTTAGTCGAGATGGCATTTCACCATGTTAGCCAGGATAGTCTCCATCTGCTGACCTCGTGATCCACCTGCCTCGGCCTCCCAAAGTGCTGGGATTACAGGTGTGAGCCACCGCGCCCGGCCTACACCCTCCTTTGCTAATCATCCCACCACCTTTGTCTCCACATGAACTATGTACTAGGCTGCACCCCCCTCAGGGCCACCATCCAAATACCTGCTAAAGATAAAGATGGATGGACAAATGGATGGATGGATGGAAGTGTGGGTAAACGAACGGGTGGTAGGATGGTTGGGATGGATGGATGGATGTTCGAAGAGTGAGTCGGTAGTTGGTAGCTAGATGGACAGATGAATGAAAGATGGACACATGGTTGGGCAGATGAAAGGATTGAGAAATGGATGGATGGATGTGTGGGTGAACAAATGGATGAAGGAATGGGCGGTAGGATGGTTGAGTTGGATGAATGGATGGATGGATGGATGGATCTTTGAGTAGTGAGTAGGTAGTGGATAGGTATATGGACAGGTGAATGAAAGGTAGACACATGGTTGGGCAGATGAAAGGATTGAGAAATGGATGGATGGATGTGTGGGTGAACAAATGGATGAAGGAATGGGTGGTAGGATGGTTGAGTTGGATGAATGGATGGATGGATGGATGGATGGATGGATGGATCTTTGAGTAGTGAGTAGGTAGTGGGTAGGTATATGGACAGGTGAAAGAAAGGTAGACACATGAGTGGACAGATGAAAGGATTGAGAAATGGATGGATGGATGTGTGGGTGAATGAATGGATGAAGGGATGGGTGGTAGGATGGTTGGGGTGGATGGATGGATGAATGAGTAGTGAGTGAGTAGTGGGTAGCTAGATGGACAGATGAATGAAAGGTGGCCACATGAGTGGACAGATGAAAGGATTGAGAAATGGATGGATGGATGTGTGGGTGAATGAATGGATGAAGGGATGGGTGGTAGGATGGTTGGGGTGGATGGATGGATGAATGAGTAATGAGTGAGTAGTGGGTAGCTAGATGGACAGATGAATGAAAGGTGGCCACATGAGTGGACAGATGAAAGGATTGAGAAATGGATGGACAGATGGGTAGGTGGATGGATGACCATTTAATGGATGAAAAAAATAGATGGATTTCTCGTAGGAGAAAGTAAGCTTTTTAAAGGCAGGACTGTGCATTTCACTTCCTTGTTTTTATCTCCAGTGATTTCTGCATGACAGGTTTCACAAAATATTTCTTCCTTGTAACAGACTCTTCCAGACAACACTGACAGGGTTATTGCCTTCAGATCCCACATAGACCACGTAAGATTCTAAGGAAAAAATGGTAAAATCAGTGGGAGTAACTTTATAATGGCCACCCCCCAAAAAAGAAATTGCATTTAGGAGCTACTTTATGAAAACTGCTGTTGTTTGTAACGTTTAAAATGTACTTTGAAATGTTATTGATTTATTTATATGTATATATAATATGTATATGTATATACATGTAATATATGTATATTTATATATATGTATAACATATATGTCTATATATCTATGTATATATCTTTCTTTTGTTTTGAGGCAGAGTCTCCTTCTGTTGCCCAGGCTGGAGTGCAGTGGTGTGATCTCGGCTCACTGCAACCTCCACCTCCTGGTTTCAAGCGATTCTCCTGCCTCAGTTTCCCAAGTAGCCGGGACTACAGGCATGCACCACCATGGCCGACTAATTTTTGTATTTTTAGTAGAGACAGGGTTTCACCAAGTTGGCCAGGCTGGTCTCGAACCTCTGACCTCAGGTGATCCACCCACTTTGGCCTCCCAACCTGCTGGGATTACAGGTGTGAGCCACCGCACCTGGCCCATATTGTAATTTTAAATTGAGGAGTTTTAAAATATTTAATCATTAAGTTATTTTTAAAATAACAATAATAAGCCTAATAATAATAATAAAAACAACAATAATACATGCTTATATAAGTAACACTTTTGTGTGTGTGTATTTAAAAAAAAAAAAAAACTAATTCTATTCTCCAAGACAAACCAAAAACTGTAGTGAGAAGAGTGGTACTGTTGGAGAGCTTTGCAAATCTCTTTACTGCCTGGATGAAGAGCAGACAGCTGAGTTCTCATCTCTGCTCTGCCTTCAGTCTGTGTTGTGATGTGTTCTCAGGTTGAAGCATATGAAGAAATTCCAGACTCCCACAGAGAGGAAACTAGAAAAGGGAGCTGTGGCCGGGCGTGGTGGCTCATGCCTGTAATCCCAGCACTTTGGGAGGCTGAGGCAGGCAGATCACAAGGTCAGGAGATCAAGAGCATCCTGGCTAACACGGTAAAACCCCGTCTCTACTAAAAATACAAAAAATTAGCCGGGCGTGGTGGCGGGCGCCTGTAGTCCCAGCTACTCGGGAGGCTGAGGCAGGAGAATGGCGTGAACCTGGGAGGCAGAGCTTGCAGTGAGCCAAGATCATGCCACTGCTCTCCAGCCTGGGTGACAGAGAGCAAGACTCCGTCTCAAAAAAAAAAAAAAAAAAAAAAGAAAGAAAAGCGAGCCATGTTTTCAGAGCATTTTCAGAGAGCTACGGGTGTTCTTATTTGATGCTACTACAGAACTCAACGAGTAGCAGTTTCCTAAGCATTAGTTGCTGGGGCCAGACTAGGGTGAGACAAGTGAGGCCTAGGGTGCAAACTCAGGGAGGCGCTGGTTCTCAGGGGTGTGCAGCTGCTGACCCGGCACCTCGTTCCCTTCAACCTAATATCCACCCTGCTATATGCAATGTGAAATTGAATCCAGAGTGATAAACTTTTGTTCTCTGCTCCATCAAAACTCATTCATTTTTCTTGGACTTTGAATGGATCTTTTGCCCATGCATGTTTGCATGGGCATGGAACCATCAGGACTGGGATTTCATCTTACTCTACTACAAACTAATCCATTAACTTGTTACTGTTGCGTGGATGCTGGCAAAAGAGATGAGATTCCTGTGTCAGAGACAAAGGACTTTATTATTGCTGCTCACACAGCAAGCAGAGCGGGCACCAGCCTGTTTTGCACTTGTTCCCTCTGTCCCCCAAGTCCTGCAGAGGTGATGCAGAGGAGCTGAGATAGATGCTACACACACAGTTGGTTTGTGCTGTAGCTGAGGAACCCTGAGCTTGGGGACTCGTCTGTTTTGTAGCATGCAGTAAGTAAGCCTGCTGTTTGTCCCAGAGGGAGACAGTATCTCATTCCTCAAGGCTGCTCACTATAAGCATAAATCTTAGAAATACTTTGGATGGACCAGGCACAGTGGCTCATGCCTTTAATCCCAGCACTTTGGGAGGTGGGCGGATCACTTGAGGTCAGGAGTTCAAGACCAGCCTGGCCAACATGGTGAAACCCCATATCTAGTAAAAATACAAAAATTAGCCGGGCTTGCTGGTGTGCGCCTGTAATCCCAGCTACTTGAGAGGCTGAGACAGAAGAATCACTTGAACCAGGGAGGCAGAGGTGGCAGTGAGCTGAGATCATGCCACTGCACTCCAGCCTCAGAGACAAAGTGAGACTGTCTCAAATAAATAAACAAATAAATAAATTAGCTGAGCGTGGTGGCAGGTGCCCGAAGTCCCAGCTACTCTGGAGATTGAAGCAGGAGAACTGCATGAACCCAGGAGGCGGAAGTTGCAGTGAGCCGAGATCATGCCATTGCATTCCAGCATGGGGGACAGAGTGAGACTCTGTCTCAAAAAAAAAAAAGAAAGAAATAGTTTGGATAAAAAGAGTGCTCAAGCTTTGCATTCTTGGCACACCCAGCAAGACCTGTAGGAGTGTGAGAGATCCACAGAGGATGATTGTTTTTTCCTGGCGGAAATATCATGCATTGGTCATTTGGAAAATTTTGGTTCACTGAGTTATGTAGATCCTCCAAATGTTGACACATGTCTTTGCACAATATCAAAAACCACATTTATTAACATCATCATTAATCTCATCAGAAAAGTCTTTAGGTACCGACAAACCAGCAAGCTTACAGTGGCAGACACAGGTTTGCCAAAATTCTAATTTTTGCTTGAAAGCCCAAATTTCATCTTGAGGAATGAGCTCAAATTTTATCTTTAGGAGTTGTTTAAAAATAACTGTTCCGTGCTGTCAGTTATTTTCCTTGAAGAGATATGCTTACTTTGCTGGTTTTCAATAGAATGTCCTCCAAATATCCAAGTCTGAATAACCATCGTATGACCGTTGACCAACCCTCCAGGTAGAAATTGTATTCCCTGAGAAAAGGGGCTAGTTCAGCTTGCAACTCAAACAATCGCACACGTGCTTTTCTTTGAGACAAACGTAGTTGAGAACGTAGCAGAAATGTTTCCTACTTCCCACTTCATGACACAAAACACTAAAAAGACACGTGCCCAGAGGTCAAGATTTTTAAAAACTAATAAATTTTACTTTGCTATCAGGGACATTCTTGCTGGACACAGTGGCTCACACCTCTAATGGCAGAACTTTGAGATGTTCAAGTAAGAGGATCACTTGAGCCCAGGAGTTCCAGGCCAGCCTGGGCAGCAAAGGGAGACCCTGTCTCTCCAAAAAAAGTAATAAACAGGCATAGTGGCACATGCCTGTGGTCTCAGCTACTTGGGAGGCTCTGGCAGGAAGATCGCTGGGGCACAGGACGTGGAGGCTGCAACGAGCCAGGATCCCATCACTACACTCCAGCATGGAAAACATAGTGAGATCCCGTCTTAACAACACAAGAAAACAAAAAAACCCAGCACGTTCTTAAGTAAAGTCATTTTTTTTGTGGCTCTGGGAGTGTAGAGCAGTAAGGAACACAGAGCTGGCACATCGGGGATCCACTGCCTTGATCTGAATTAGTTTTACCCACGGTCATTTTGTACCTTTTACACTAAATGTCAACATGATGAAAAGGGCAAATAATGTCTTAACAGTCACATGAAAATACTTTTACTTCACAGACCTCTGAATAAGTCGTGGGAGCCCTCGGGTCCTGCAGACCACAAGGGAGGAGCGACTGATGTTCACTTTGGAGACCCGGGCTTCTGATTGCACCCTTGCCCCAGGCCCTGTGAACTCCAGGAAAGGATCTTCCAGGGACACAGACAACAGAACAAAATACTTGTTTGTCTTCAAGGACTTCAGGGTCTTCAGCATGTTCAAACCCACAGGTGCCTTCGGGGACCAAGAGGCAGAGAGATGGGAGGAGCGGCTGGGTGGGGCCCGGGCAGAGCGGAGGACACAGGTGTGAATTTGTGCGCAGCCGCTGCTCCCTCCGGCCAGCCGTGGCCAAGTGGACATTCGGACCCAGAGCGGCCAGATCTTGTAATTTCCAAGAAAGCCAGAAACCCAGATTTTTATATAAAATTTCTGAAATGTTGAAAGTTGGCAACTAATTGTCTTTTTTTTTCCTTTGAGTCGGAGTCTCGCTCCGTCGCCCAGGCTGGAGTGCAGTGGCACAATCTCGGCTCACTGCAAGCTCCGCCTCCCGGGTTCACACCATTCTCCTGCCTCAGCCTCCCGGGTAGCTGGGACTACAGGCGCCCGCCACCACGCCCTGCTAATTTTTTTGTATTTTTAGTAGAGACGGGGTTTCACTGTGTTAGCCGGGATGGTCTCGATCTCCTGACCTCGTGATCCGCCCATCTCGGCCTCCCAAAGTACTGGGATTACAGGCGTGAGCCACCGCGCCTGGCCGGCAGCTATTTATCTTAACAAAACAAATCTGTGAGGCTAAACAGAAGACCCCCAGGCTGGGTTCAGGCTATGGGTGCCAGTGTGCAGCCTCTGGTCTCGAGGGAGAGCCAGACACATACATCATTACAACATGAGCTGATGTGGGGTTACAAGGTGCCCTGGGAGCAGAGAGAAAGAAGGGCCTGATAATCACAGCTTCCCTTTCCTGAGAACTTGCAGGTACCGGGGGGTCTACACACCACGGCTTCACGTAATCCACTTGGCAACCTCACAAGGTAGGAATCATGATGACCCGCGCTATTTTATAGAGGAGGAAACTGAGACTTAAGGTGCATAAGTAACTGACCAGGCCACAGCTCTCCCCTCGCCTCCCGCAGCTCTCCCCTCACTTCCACCTCTCTGTCCCTCTGGGTTTCTTGCTGCACTCATAGGAAGCAGGCTTCTGCCTTGGGGCCTTGGCATATGCTGTCTCCTTCTGTCTGGATGGTTCTTTCCCCAGAAGAACTTCCCCCTCCACTGCATTCAGGCAGCTACTGAAAACCACCTTCTCACAGAGCCCTTCCCTAACTCCCTGTCCCATGATAACCACACACACACACACACACACACACACACTGTACACCCTCACCCTGCTTTATTTCCTTCTGTGTATAATTTCCAGAAATTACTGGATTCCTGTTCCTGTTTATTTTCTATCTGCTGTCCCTGCCAGTGCCATCCCCACTAGAATGCAGCTGCCTGCGTGAGGTCACCTGGCACCTAGGACAGCGCTGGTCCCTGTGAGTGCTCCCTAACTGTGCCGCCTGGATGGAGGGAGACCTACCGCTGGGCTCAAGACGCAGGAACACGAGGCACACACAGTTATGACTCATCAGACCCTTGCAATTTACTTCAAAAGAGTCTAATGACAACGAACTGTAAAACGCTGTGAGAAATCGGCACAGGGAGGGAGAGGTGAGCTGAGTGTGAGATCGGGACAGGCCCCGTCTGGGGGGATGTGGTGCTTGGGCTCCAGAACACCCCCCCGGGGTCTTTCCCACAGGCACAGCCACCCAAGGAGAGCTCACCTCGGCCGGCCACAAGCAGGTTACCTATTCAATTCTTCATGCACAAACAGTAGTGACAGACTCACGATATGAAATTGACTGACAACCCAATTTCAAAAATAACTTACGGGAGCCTTCCCAAAAGAAGATAGCAAGTGGCAGATACATGTATGAAAAGGGGCTCAACCTCACTCTTCATTGGGGAAACTCAAATGAATACCACGCTGAGATACTGCAGTGCTCCAGCAGAATGGCTGAAATTAAAGGCTGGCTGTACCCCGTGTGGGTGTAGATGTGGGGCAGTTAGGACCCCCGTGCACGGTTGGTGAGCATATTAATTGGTACCACCACTGCACAGAAATGTCTGGAAATCCCTCCTCTTCCCTAACATATGCGGGTCCTTTGACCCACATGTTTCTCTCTTGTTCTATATTGAAGAGAAATGAGTGTGTATGTTACAGAATCACCAGGGGTTTGTCTAGGTGCTGCTGCTCACCACACAAAAAGCCAGTCACTGAGACAAGGAGCATTGCCAGAGAAGAAGCTTTAATCCCGTGCTGCAGCCCAGGAGATGGGAGATCAGTCTCAGCCCATCCCCTGACCCACGAAAATCAGGGGTTTATGTAGCAGAGAAGAAATGTAACCATGTGTGTGAAAACAGGAATCAGGGAGGGGCGAGGAAGAGTCGGTCACCAGGAAGCAGGTGGTGGGTTAGGCAATTCCCAGGCTGGAGGGTGTGGTGGTCTTGGGAGTTTTTTTTTTATTCTATCTGGGAGGCCTGATAGGTGGTTTCTTGGGAAAGGAACTCAGATAAGACAAGAAGGATCTTATCTTGTGAGACTGGGAGGATCATTTCTATGTTTATTCAAAGAAACCATAAACATCAGTTCTATGGGACAATTGGGCCGGTTTCACTTCTCTCCGATAACGAACACATTGAAGAATGTTCATCATAACTTTATTCCTAATAGTCAAAACCCCAAACACTCATCAGTAAATGAGTAAGTGAACTGTGGCCTGTGCATCTGAAGGAGAACTACACACACACAGCAGAGAACAATCTCAGCAGCGTGGTGACGCTCACGCTGGGGAAAAGAGGCCAGACACAAAAGGGAATGTACCGAAAGATTCCTTTTATATAAAGGACAAGAGTAGGCAAAACTGTTATGTGGAAATGAGAACAATGGTTACCTCCTAGGGCAGAGGAGCATACAGACCAGGAAGGCAGAGGAGGGGCTGTCTTGAAATGCACCTGGGACTTTGTTTTCCTCAGCTCTGGTCAGATGACAGCCTGGGAGACACTGCCTTTGAATGAAGAGTTGATGACTTTCCAGCATGGGGAAGCACCACATCAGTCCCGAGGCAGAAGGAGCAAGGGGAGGGCCCAGGCCGGGCCTTCACTGGGGTCTCTGTGGGAAGGAATAGATGAGGGTGGAGGTGAGTTTGAGCAAGCTTCGGGTGGGCCCGTTTGCCTAATGTTGGCAGGCCCAGGGCTATGGGGTGGTCCCTAGTCATCCAGTACCATGCTCTGGAGTGAGATGGGGCAGGGAGAATATTCCCTGGGTGTGTGAGTTAGATAAAGGGTGTGGTGGGGGCAGGGGCTTCTGACTGCTGGTTTGCATAGGGAGGTGTGTGCTGTCTCCAGAACTAGCCAGCCCTGGGAGGGGCAGTCCCTTCCCCGCCAGCAAAGCCTTCTGCGATGCCAAAGCACCATAGAACACAGAAACCAGAAAGCGTGGTTAATCCAGGAGCCGCACGAGGACTGATGCCTTCCATATCGGTGTCCTGTATGTGCTCTGCCGTATTCTACCTCCTCTTTTTAAAATGCAAATAGAGAATCCAATCTGAAGAACTAATGCAAAGGACCTCTTTAATGCTTATCAGCCACCCCTCCGCCCTTGGCTGTCTTTCTGGTATCAGCATCCTCCTCCTCCTCCCTCCCAGACTCCAGGCCCTGGGCTCCAGAAGGTCCATCCCTGTGGCCTCAAGGCACCAGGCACATCCATGCCAGCTTCATCCTCTCCAGTGACACGGCTGTGCAGCTGTAACTGAAAATTTAACAGACTGTCCCTCTGACTATTTCTCCTTCACTTTCTTGTAGCAAAACAAAAAGGGGGAAAAATGCATCCCAGGGGTTTCCAGCTGCCACCTTTTCAAGCCACCGTTAGGCTGGCCAACCCCCGCCAGTTTCCTCCCATCCTCCTGGGATGCCTGGGGGACTCCATCACCACTTTCTAGAAACTGCCTATAGTCAGAGGTGGCCTGGGGCTGCCCACACAGGCATGGAGACGTGGAGGACACAGCCTGATGCTAGACTGCACAGGACCCTCTTCCGCCAGGTTCCCCGGACACCTCCATCCCCTCTTCTTGCAATCATGTCATTGCATGGTAGCGCCTGTGTCCTAATGTTCCCATGCCACAAGTCTGGAGCCCTTCGCTCCTGTCTCCCGAGGCCAGGATTGAGCCTGCTTGGCCCAGAGGAGGGGGCAGTAAATGTCATGGACAGAAGCAGTGATGGGAGAGTGGTTAATGTGGAGTCGTCACAGTGACACAGAGGCTGAGGCACACTGTCTGGCACAGCCCAGCCAGGCGCTGCCCACAGCTGAGCTTCCAGAGGACACCTTCTGTGTCACCATATTCCAGGATTCAAATCCTTCCAGTCTGGGACAAGTTCCACGGGGTGCCATGAGGCTGCCCCAGTTTGATTTTAAAATGTACAGTGAAATGCCTACCTTGGTGGTGGCCAAGCCCTGACCCTGCCAAGGACAGTCTGGGAGAGGCAGGGCCAGCCTGAATGCCCCGTGCTGATGGACACACAGGCACAACACCCACAGCTCAGGGAGCCCGCTCCAGCCTGCCGTGGAGCCCAGGGCCAGGTGGTGAGCCATGAGCCTGCTCGGGACAGTCCTTCCTGATCCTGGAAGGGAGCGGCCCAATTATAACAGCTCCCGGCCGGCAAGGCTCTCAGTGGAGCCGAGCCCAGAGAGAAGGCCTGCACTGCCAGATGGGCGAGCTCATTAGAATGGGAGTGTGGTATTTCTTATGCAAATGAGGGCAAATACATCCATGGGAGAAATGTGAACAACAGACATGCACAGGAGCACGGACTTCACCGGGTTTCAAGAGGAGAGGGAGCTGGGACAGGAGACCAGGAGAGATCTCTGCCCCCAGCACTGCCCTGCAGTGGCCTAGCCCAGGCCTTCTGGATCTGCCTACATGGAATGCTCAAGAGAGAAACTGAGGCCCCAGGGGCCCTGCATATGGGTGGAGGCTGGCCTGACCTGCATCCTGGAACAGAGAGCTGCCCGGGCACCTATAGGCAGGCAGGAAGTCACTGGGCAGAGGGACAGGTGCAAGGCCAGGTCCACAATCCTGGACAGGCTCCAGGGGAGGGAGATGCCCCAGCAAATGGGACACGGGCCAGATGTAGACTGTAGCCAAGGGACCCAGAACAGAAGCACCAGGGCCCAGTTTTAGGGAGCACCCCACAGGAGGCAGGGCTTGTCCTGCGCCTCAGAGACTCCACAGCTCAGCACTCTGGGCTCACCCAGGTTGGGTTACCGGTCAGATGCACCTGCTCCATCTCCATTCTGCCACATCCTATGACCTACAGTCCAGATCTAGGACTGGGCTCACACCCTCTGAGCCCTTTCCCCGGCATCCTGCCCCTCAGGGTCCTGCAAGCCCCTGCTCCTACACATCCACAGTAAGCCCCTTGCCTCTCCCATCTCTGCCCCTCCCTGCCTCACGCCTCTGCAGACCTCAGATCTCTTTCCCTGTCCCTTCCCAGTGCACTCGCGGCCTGCTCACCCTGCCCACCATGGCTGCCTTCAGCCCCCTCTCTCCTCCCTGGCAGCTGCAGCTCCCTCAAGGCTGCCGCCCTGGCCCTTGGTCTGTGCTGCCTTCCACTGACCAGTCCCTTTGCCCCCCAACCCTGTCCAATCCTCAAGTTCCAGCATCCTCCTGGGGCTCCTTCCCACTCTCCAGTGACCTGCCCTGGCTCAGGGCGCGCAGGGCCTTCTCAGCACTGTCATCGCTGATCTCTGCAGACATCGCCCTCTGCTCCGCCAGCTCCCGTCTGTCCAGGTTGCACCATCATAACCCAGACACCAACACCCTCAACCAGGACTTGCAGTCCACCATCATGCCCGTCCCTGCTGAATTCCACTACTGTGCCTCTCGACACGCTTTCCACTCTCATTAGGCAAAGCCCTGGGCAAAGCCGAAGGCCTGGGTACCCCACCTCTGCCTTCCAGCACCCTCTGCAGGTGAACAGACAACACCCAGGCCAGGCCCAGGGTCATGGACCCATACCTTAGAACCCCTGGCAGGCACAGGGAAGACACACAATTGCCTGACCTACCCCCGGTCCCTCCCACTCTGCCGTCCCACCTGGCGACTGAACACCCTCTGCTCTGCTCAGCTCCCAGGACCTAACAGCCACACACACAACCTCAGCTTCGGACCTGGCCGCCCAGCTCACTGCAACAATAGGAGAGGCTTTCCATAGCTCTCACCCACAACAGCCCCCTCCCCAGCACGTGCACCCCCAGAGACCACTCTCCCACCTATCACCATCCTCCCCACACATCATCTTCACACTGGTCACCATCCTCCCCACACCACCCTCCCACCCGTCACCATCATCCCCACATACCACCCTCCCACCCTCCCACCCATCACCATCATCCCCACACACCACCCTCCCACCCTCCCACCCGTCACCATCGCTCCCTGCTCTGCCCTCTCACTTGTTAGCATGAGTGCACTAGGCAGGGACACATTGCTCTGTTCTTCCTCTTGGGCCTGGATCCCCATCCACTCACCAACTCCAACGCGCTGCCCAGCAATTCTCTGCATGTTTCTCTCTGTTGTATCATCCCATAAGCAGATCGATAGGCTCTTCTGTCACCCGTCTTGACCACAACTGAGATGACTCCAGATCCCCCCCCCAGCTTCCATGCAGTTCCCGCCCTTTGCAGCAGCATCCCCCACCCTCCCTTCAGTGACTCCATCCGGGCTTCTCCCCACCTCTCCACCAAGGCTGTTCTCATGCAGGCTCATGGCCTCTGGGTCATCCTCCTCCAGCAGTCAGTGGCTTTGGCCCAGCCCATGGCGCCCTCCTCATGGATCCACGGTCTTCACTTGGCTCCCAGGACATCCACCCTGGCATTTGCCCTCCGCCTTGGTTGTTTCCCCTCCAACTTGGCTTGGTTCTACTCTTCTCCCCAGCTTCTGACTGCCACAGTGCAGTCCTCTCCTCTCTTCTAACTGCACTCACTTCCACACTGATCTCCCAGCTCACAGCTTTAGATGCCATCTATAGACCTCCCACCCCTAGGTGCATGCCTTCAGCCCAGCCCTTGCTCCCAAAGCCCAAGGTCAAATGTCCAGCTGCCTGCTGGCATCTCTCCTGGATGTCTCATCCTTGACTCCAATGAAATAAGCCCAAAGCTGCATTTCTGCTCTTCCCCAGCCCCACCTGCTCCAGGCATCAACTTCTGCATCTCAGTTGATGGCAACATCTTTCTTCCAGGTGCCTTAGCTCCTCTTCTTCCTTCACACCCCTGCCCCCGCCCCCCCGCCCCCCATCCAATCCATCAGCAGATTCTCTGGGCTCTACCTTGAAAGTACACTCCCATACTCACCCCGTCCCACTGTCTCCATGGCAGCCTCCGGTTCTGGCCCACCATCACCTCTAGCCTGGAAGACTGTGACCGCCTCTGACCTGCTTCTGCTCCTTCCCTCCTCTGCTCATGGCCCCCACCATGGCTCCCCATTTTCTCGTGTAAAAGCAGAAGTCCTTTCAGCAGCCTGAGACCGTCAGGGCCAGCCCGCTTTATCTCTCTGGACCCACCCCCTGTCACTCTCCCTGGCTCACTTCCAGCGGGCCACACCCATCTCTCTCCTGGTCCAGTCTTGGGTGCTGGGCTGCAGTTCCCCTGGGCCGGGAACTCTTCCCCACTCCGCCAGCTCCTTCACTCAGCTTGAGGATTTGCCCAGAAGGTCCCTTCTCAGTGATGCCCAACCTGACCACCCTGTTTCATACTGAAGCCTACCTCCTACTACCTCACCCCACTCTTCATCTTTCTTCCATAGCACCAATCATTTCCTAGCACATGAAGTAATGTATTGACTAATCACGCTTATAGTTCATTAGCTGTTCTCTCCTACTAAAATATGAGCCCCCTGAAGGCAGGGATCATTTTGATCCGTTTTGATCAGTGATGTGTCCCAAGTTCCTTGAATAATACTGTTACATAATAAGTACAGATGAGCTGAATGAATACACATGAAATGCCCCATGACCACTCTGCTTAGGAGCATTAGGTGAGTACAGCTCTGGGTCGAACTAACTTTCCAAGCTTGACTCTTAGGAGAGAGATTAGTAAGATGGGTATTTTTTTCCTTTTTATTTTTGTCTGGGACAGGATCTTGCTCCATTGCCCAGGCTGGAGTGCAGTGGCGCAATTATAGCTCACTGCAGCCTTCACCTCCTGGGATCAAGCTATCCTCCCACTTCATCCTCCCAATGTATGGGATTACTGACAGGAGCCATTGCTCCCGGCAGGACGGGTATTTTTCAAGAATCTTCTAGTTTAACGTGTCCTAATGCAAGATGATGTAACAAGCCTTTATTGGCTCAGGCAATAAAGAGGAATTAGCTGCAGGCATGGGCGGATCCATTCAAGCAGATGCTGTGGTCACGGGTTGAGCTCTTTCCTGCTGCCTTGAGCCTGAGGCAGGCTATTCTTCCTGTGCGGCTCCACAGCTTCAGGCCAGCCCCCTCCCCGCTCAAATCCCTGAGGCAGAGCTCCTCTGAAGAAGACTTCCGATATTAGGTTGCCTGGGCCCAGCTTGAATCAGGCACCCCCAGCCGAGTCGCCCTCCAGGGGATGGAATACGGGACTCCCAGCCCCGGAAAACGGAGTCCGCCTGAGCCACGGGACTCGGATGGAAGGCAAGTGAAGCCTGATACCTCAGTGCAGATACGTGGCTGGCTTTGTTGCAGGATTTTCCTTAGTTTAGCTAAAGACGGGATCTTGTCCATCCCATGGCCATGAAAATTTAGGCTCACAGACGCTTTAAAGGGTGAGTAAAGCAATGTTTTATTGGGTGAAAAGGGAAAAAAGGAGGGTGGGTAACAGGGATTCTCCACAAGGCCAGAGTCTCCTGCTAGAGTGCTCCCTGCCCGCCCCATTCTAATCCCAGGTTCCACACAGGAAGAGGCGGTTCCCAGGTTCCACACAGGAAGAGGCGGTTCCCAGGTTCCACACAGGAAGAGGCGGTTCCCAGGTTCCACACAGGAAGAGGCGGTTCCCAGGTTCCACACAGGAAGAGACGCCCAGGTTCCACACAGGAAGAGGCGGTTCCCAGGTTCCACACAGGAAGAGGCGGTTCCCAGGTTCCACACAGGAAGAGGCGGTTCCCAGGTTCCACACAGGAAGAGACGCCCAGGTTCCACACAGGAAGAGGCGGTTCCCAGGTTCCACACAGGAAGAGGCGGTTCCCAGGTTCCACACAGGAAGAGGCGGGGCGAGGCTCCTCCCTGCTGCAAAGGTCACAAACCTCGAGGCTTCGTCTCAGCGGGCGGGCTGGTTCTCCAGGGACCCCCTCCCACCTGGCTGTCTCAACTTGAGCAGCTGTCCATGCTGGGGTGCCCGCCAGGGGTGTGGGAACCACTCCCAAGAGGCCTAGCAGTCCCAGCACTGACCAGGGTTGACCCGAGGAGTAACCTGCCTCCCCCGGAAAACCTGAGCTGTCTTCTTCCCACCTCAGTCACCACCCAGATGTGAAGTAATGCAAAAGGCTCAACGTGGTCAAAAGAGCCCCGTTAGCCAGAATCTAGCCTCGGTTGCAAAGCAGCTTAACATGCAACAGCTCCCTACACGTTCTCCTGACCCCACCCTCCACCAACCCCCAAAGGCAGAAGCCATGAAGTCAGGACAAAGAAGGGTGGTGGCCATGATATCCCATTGTTCTACAGGTACAGGACCACACAACGAGGACAAAATAAGACGTTTAAATATTCGAAAGAGCTGTCTCTACTATAATGTAGATGATACATTTATAAACCTGGAAAACTCACAAGAATGGACTGTGAAGGTATTAAAAATAATAAGATAATCTACTTGGGAGGCTGAGGCAGGAGAATCACTTGAACCAGGGAGTCGGAGGTTGCAGTGAGCCAAGATTGTGCCACTGGACTCCATCCTGGTAACAGAGCAAAAATAAACAAATATAATATAATATAATAATAAAATTATACTAAATGATGTGAAAGTTTTGGTTAAATAATATATTTTGTTTTTTAATACAATGTCAACACGAATTTTAAAAATATTATACCAGTTTTAGTACTGTTCTCCCAAAATTCAGGTCCTTCCTGTAACTTCAGAGTGTGGCTTTATTAGGAAACAGGGTCATTGCACATGTAATTTAAGATGTGGTCTTAGTACAGCAGGATGTGTCCTTAATCTGACACAACTGGTGTCCTCATAAGACAAGGACAAGAAACAGAGAAACACCAGGGAAGATGCTGTGTGAAGGTGGAGACACAGATTGGAGTGATGTGTCTGCAGGTCAGAAAACACCAAGGGTTGCCGGCAAAATCAGAAGCCAAGAGAAAGGCATGGACCAGATTCACCCCTAGGACCTTCAGAAAGACCATGGGCTTCCAGTACCTTCACGTTGGACTCCAGCCTCCAGAACTGTGAGAAAATACATTCTTACTGTCTTCAGACGCGCAGTTTGCGGTCATTTGTTACGGCAGTCTTAGCACACTAATAAGGATCTCAGTTCTTCCCATGTTGGCTACAAGGTTAATTCGATCCTGATCAAAGTCCTAAAAAGGTTTGTTTGGGTTTGAGGTTTTGTGCTTTGACTTGTTGTTCAGTTGGTTGGTTGGTTTTTTGTTTGGTTTAAGATAGTGTTTTCTATTTTTTTCCTCTTGTTTTTGCTTTTTTGGAAGGGTAAGAGACTTAAATGTCAACGTATCAGAATGAAAACAGAGTTAGATCCAGGAAATTTCTGAAAAAGAGAAGTAACAGAGCAGGACCAGCACTCCCTTCCAGGGAGTGGCCCCGCTGCTGAGAGGGAGGGCCCGGGACAGAAGACGGAGTTCCAAAATAGGCTAAGTATAAACGGGGATTTAGTACACAACGGGGGAGGAATGTCAAATCAGTGGGCAAACATAGATCTTTCTTTTTTTTTTTTTTTTTTTTGAGATGGAGTCTCACCCAGGCTGGAGTGCAGTGGCACGATATTGGCTCACTGCAAGCTCCGCCTCCCGGGTTCACGCCATTCTCCTGCCTCAGCCTCCCGAGTAGCTGGGACTACAGGCGCTCGCCACCATGTCTGGCTACTTTTTTTGTATTTTTAGTAGAGGCGGGGTTTCACCATGTTAGCCAGGATGGTGTCAATCTCCTGACCTGGTGATCCGCCCACCTCGGCTTCCCAAAGTGCTGGGATTACAAGCGTGAGCCACTGCGCCTGGCCAAACATAGATCTTTCAATAAAGAGCATTGAGAAGACTACAAAGTTGATTGGTTAATGATTTATTATTATTACTATTATTATTATTTGAGGTGGAGTTTTGCTCTTGTCGCCCAGACTGGAGTGCAGTGGCACAATCTAGGATCACTGCAACCTCCACCTCCTGGGTTCAAGCAATTCTCCTGCCTCACCCTCCCAAGTAGCTGGGATTACAGGTGCGTGCCACCACGCCTGACTAATTGTTGTATTTTTAGTGGAGATGGAGTTTCACCATGTTGGCCAGGCTGTGCTCGATCTCTCGACCTCAGGTGATCCATCTGCCTTGGCCTCCCAAAGTGCTGGGATTACAGGCGTGAGCCACAGTGCCTGGCCTATTATTATTATTAATGCCAGGTCACAGCTATACTCCTTTCACTCAAAGTCCTGATGGATCAAATTTTTAAAACTAAATGATTCAGACCAGGCATGGTGGCTCACGCCTGTAATCCCAGCACTTTGGGAGGCCAAGGCAGGCAGATCACAAGGTCAGGAGATCGAGACCATCCTGGTTAACACAGTGAAACCCTGTCTCTACTAAAAATACAAAAAAATTAGCCGGGTGTGGTGGCGGGTGCCTGTAGTCCCCTCTACTTGGGAGGCTGAGGCAGGAGAATGGTGTGAACCCAGGAGGTGGAGCTTGCAGTGAGCCGAGATCACGCCACTGCACTCCAGCCTGGGTGACAGAGCAAGACTCCGTCTCAAAAAAAAAAAAAAAAAAAAAGCTAAATGATTCAGAGATGTCCAATTCATGATGAGGGACCATATTTGTATCATATCCTTCACTCCCCAAATAGCTAAGAAATGGCCAGATAATACATCACTTTCGAGGGAATAAGTTCCCCCAGCTGCATGGGGATATGAGAATCATGCTCTTGGTGAGCCATATATTTTGAGGATTTCTGGAAAACAGCAAATTATATCAAACTTATAAGAGAAACCAGAGCAGAGGAAGTTTCATGTTAGAGGGAGGATTCATTTTTCCCACCAAATCTCCTTGGTGCCTCTTGCAAAGGGGTTCTCGACATCCCAACATACCTGAGTCCCAGGGCGTGTGCCGCTCATTCTCGGAGATGAAACCCAATACTCTAATAAGGAGAAAAATGACTAATGGAATAACCTTTCTGTTCATCCCCCTTTTGCAAAAATCATCCTCCTCTTGCGAAGATTTGGGGAAAATGAATCAAATGGAAATTCCTCAAATTCAAAGGCTTTTTATTGGTGTAGACCAACATCCCTTGTATAATACAATACATAAACCTGTGTAAAACACACTGACTTACACTCTCCGCACCCCCAGGACCACTTGCCATGTTTGCTCGTGGTTTGTTCAAACAAAGAAAATAAACCCCCGGGGATGCGCCCACTACTCGGACACTCCACAGAGGGGAGAAACCTGGTCCACTGGGTTTCAGGCAAAGCCCAAGTTTCCTTCCCCTTCTCCTCCCCCTACGAAAATTCCTTTCCAACAGTCCTCAGGCTTTTTGTAAGCTGTCCTCCAAAGCCCTTCCCCAGCGAGGACTATGGGGCTGAAATGTAATCATTGTGCTGAAGCATTGCTGAGTTTTACCGAGTCCTGCTGGTGCCCCAGCCGCTGAGTGTGTCCTTGGAGCTGGTTCTAGAAGTTGTGATGGATTTTCACTTATCACTTCCCCGGCCCCTCTTGGGCAGCCTGCAGAAACAGAGACTGCCCCGTGGCGCCGCACAGAACACCTTGTCCTTGGCTGCACAGTGGGAGAGCATGCTGTATATTCTTGAGAAACAGGGAATCTGTGTGCAAGCCGGGACCTCCTCCTCCTTTCCCCAACAGCGTCAGGAGGCAGCCCCCATGGGCAGCGAACCAGGGAATAAACACTGTGGATTACCAATGGGGAAGGAGCCTGGACCAGGCAACCCAAATACATGCACCCCTTGCTATTGTTAAAGCACCGTTGAAGTCCTGTTTTATATCCACCAAATTAGCAAAGAATAAGAAAGTTCTGGCCAGGACACAATGAAATTGGCACACACAGGCACACAGGGCTGCTGAGCACGGGCCTTCTCCCCAGAAGGCATAGAAACCAGTAACTCTCCAGTTTTCCCTTGGCAAGCTCAGGTCGTCTCTGTCATTTGGAACCCAGGAGTTCTGACTAAACAAGGACAGTGCACAGAGATGCTTACAACACCTGTGCAAGATTAGAGACCACCTCGGCTTACAGCACAAGACTAGCTAAAAAAATGTTGACATGTCAGCACAACAGAATAATACGAAGACTAATAGCAAAATGGAAAAACAGGCCGGGTGCGGTAGCTCACACCTGTAATCCCAGCACTTTGGGAGGCCAAGGCGGGCGGATCACCTGAAGTCAGGAATTCAAGACCAGCCTGGCCAACATAATGAAACCCTGTCTCTACTAAAAATACAAAAAATTACCTGGACGTCGTGGCACATGCCTGTAATCTCAACTACTCAGAAGGCTGAGGCAGGAGAATGGCTTGAACCCAGGAGGTGGAGGTTGCAGTGAGCCAAGATCGCGCCATTGCACTCCAGCCTGGGCGACAGAGTGAGACTCTGCCTCAAAAAAAAGAAAAGAAAAATGGAAAAACAAACCACACAGGATTCCCAGTTAAGGGAAAGCAGAGCCCTGAAGGATCCCGTCCGGTGCTTCCGGCTATAGAAAAGGAGCCACATGGGTAGGCCAAGATGGTCCAGATGGCAGGTGTTCACTGCACGCTACCCTGTGCCAGGTCTGGTGCTCCATGGCTCACCTGTGTTGTCACGTGTCACATTCACTCTCATTCTGAGGCAGGTGCATTTTGCAAAGGAAGACACTGAGGCATCAAGCAGTCCATCGCTTGACCATGGTCAAGAAGGGGGTCCCAAACCCAGGCTGCGGGCCCCAAGCCAAAGCTCCAAAGGCAGCAGGAAAGGGAACAGCAGTCATGGAAAAGGGGAGGTGGTTTAGGGGCTTTTTATTTGTTGGTTTGGTTTCAAATTTCATCTTGAGTTTTTCCATTATCTTTTCCAATTAAAAGAAAATCCACAAGAAATCTGTGAAAGGGGCCAGGCATGGTGGCTTATGCCTGTAATCCCAGCACTTTGGGAGGCCAACGCGGGTGGATCACCTGAAGTCGGGAGTTTGAGACCAGCCTGGCCAACATGGTGAAACACCATCTCTACTGAAAATACAGAAATTAGCCGGGCGTGGTGGCACTCGCCTGTAATCCCAGCTACTGAGGAGGCTGAGGCAGGAGAATCGCTTGAGCCCAGGAGGCGGAGGTTGCAGTGAGCCAAGATTGTGCCACTGCACTCTAGCCTGGGCGACAGAGCAAGACTCTGTCTCAAAAAAAAAAAAAAAAAAAAGACATCTGTAAAAGGATCAGCACCCAGCCCCCACTTGAGGACACCTACCCGATGGCTCGTCTGCCATGCTGGGACCCTCCACCCTGATCCCCTACACCATTCAAGACTGAGTTCCCAAATGCACCTCCCCAGGGCGGTGATGGGGTCCAGCTTTGTGTCCACATCCCAGCACCTGGCATGGGGCCAGGCAGCAGTGACACTCAGGCCCTGTTGGTTGGATTCATTGATTCAGTAATTAGCAGCCTGAGGCCAGGGGACAGAGGCCATTCTCACTCCAGGACCTCCCTCCTCCCTGGGATGTCCTGGGGAATCTCTCCTGGGCCCTGGGCCCACCCTCCACACCCCATTGATTAGGCCTTCCATAGAACTCTCAAATCCACTCCCTCCACCCCATGCCTGGCACCGCCGTCCCGGTTCAGCCCTGGTTTCAGCCGCATACTCCTGTTCCAGGACCAGCTGTCTAAAGGGTAAGTGTTCTGCTCTCCCTATCCCGTTCCAGTTGTTCACAGGCTCACTGCGGCCTCCAGAGAAAATCCTGACGTCACGGCCTGTTGTCCCTGCTGTCCCCACAGTCCCTGTCTGCCACCCTCCCCCCACCACGCCCACACTGCAGGCTGCCATCAGCACACCGGGTCCCAAATACACCACGTGTGCTTCCTCACACCCCTGGACCACACTGCTCTCCAGCCCGGCACGCCTTCTACACTGTCTGGTGAGTTCCTTTTTAAATAAAAGCTTTATTGAGGCTGGGGGCGGTGGCTCACGCCTGTAATCCCAGCCCTTTGGGAGGCCAAGGCGAGTGGATCACAAAGTCAAGAGATGGAGACCATCCTGGCCAACATGGTGAAGCCCCGTCTCTACTGAAAACACAAAAATTAGCTGGGCACAGTGGTGCGTGCCTGGAGTCTCAGCTACTCGGGAGGCTGAGGCAGGAGAATTGCTTGAACCCAGGAGGTGGAGGCTGCAGTGAGCGGAGATCGCACCACTGCACTCCAGCGTGGTGACAGAGTGAGACTCTGTCTCAAAAACAAAACAAAACAAAACAAAAAACCTTTACTGAGATACAATTCATATACCATAAAACTCACCATTTCACACCATTTTAACGTGTAAATTCAATGGTTTTTAGTATATTCGCCATCACCATAACCATCACAATTTTAGAACTTTTTTTTTTACTATTTAGACAGAGTCTCCTGTCTCCAGAGCCTGTTGCCCAGACTAGAGTGCAGTGGCAGGATCTCAGCCCACTGCAACCTCTGCTTCTCGGGCTCAAGCAATTCTCGTGCCTCAACCTCCTGAGTAGCTGGAATGACAGGAGTGAACCACAATACCTGGCTAATTTTTGTATTTTTTTTTTTTTTAGTAGAGACAGGGTTTCACCATGTTGGCCAGGCTGGTCTTGAACTCCTGACCTAAAGAGATCCACCCGCCTCGGCCTCCCCAAGTGCTGGGATTACAAGCGTGAGCCACCACACCAGACCCAGAACACTTTCATTACCCCCTAAAAACCCTATGTCCCATTAGCCCTCACCCCTCTGTCCCTCCCCATTCACCCTTTGGCCCTAGGCAACCTGTAAGCCACTTTCTGGCTCTATGAATTTGCCTCCCGTGGGCGATTCATATAAATGGAATCATATCACTGGTCTTTTCAGGCTGGCTTCTTATTCACTTGGCATGTTTTGAAGATTCATCCATGTTGTAGTATGTGTCATGTGGCTATAGCACCTCTTGTTCCATTCAGCCAGTTGATGGATTTGAACGTTGTTTTTCTTGTTCGACTATCATGACTAACACTGCTATGAACATTCATGTACAAGTTTTTTTTTTTTGCGAATTTTTTTTTTTTTGAGACAGAGTCTCGCTCTGTTGCCCAGGCTGGAGTGCAATGGCGCGATCTCAGCTCACTGCAAGCTCCCCCTCCCGGGTTCACGCCATTCTACTGCCTCAGCTTCCCGAGTAGCTGGGATTACAGGCACCTGCCACCATGCCCAGCCAATTTTTTGTGTTTTTAGTAGACACGGGGTTTCACCATGTTAGCCAGGATGGGCTCGATCTCCTGACCTCGTGATCCACCAGCCTCAGCCTCCCAAAGTGCTGGGATTACAGACGTGAGCCACCACGCCCCCGCAAAAATTTTTTGTTATTGTTGTTGGGTATACACCGAAAAGCAATATTGCTGGGTAACATGGTCGCTTTATGTTTAACCTTTTGAAGAACTGCTGGGCTGTTTTCCAAAACATCAGCACAGTTGTAGATTCCTATCAGCAGTGTAAGAGGGTTTCAATGTATCCACATTCTTGCTAACACTTGCTATTATCTGACTTTTTTATTGTAACCATGCCGCTGGGTGTGAAGTGGTGTCTCTCTATGGTTTTGATTTATAATTCCAAGATGGTTAATGATGTTGAGCATCTTTATATGTGCCTATTAGCCATTCATATATTTTTTGAAGAAATTTCCATTCTGATCATATGCCCATTCTTAATTGGCTTGTCTTTTCTTATTGAGTTGTAAGGGTTCTTTTTATATTCTGTATACAAGACCTTTATCAGATATGCAAATATTTTTACTTTTTCTGATGGTGTCATTTGCAATGAATGGGAGAAGTTCCCTTGCTCCCCTCACAGGGGTGTGGCTCACTTCTTTGGTGCCCCACTGCTCAAACCCCTAGTGGGAGCATGCAAATGGGCAGGTCGTGGGGAGCACTTTTGGGCTCCGACCCCACAACAGCGACTAGAGTTGAGTGTTTACAGCTCCCGAAGCCCCAGTGGGTGTGTGTTAGTGTGCTCTTTCAGCTTTGCCATCTGCAGGTGGCTTGTGTTAATCAGCTCAATTAGACCCTCTGCCTTATCACAAGGACAGAGGGTTTTCTGTATCCCGGATTCTTGCCCTGGTGTACCAGAAAAATTGGATCACATGTGGGCTTGGAGAATGACTGCAAGGTTTTATTGAGTGGTGGAAGTAGCTGTCAGTGAGATGGATGGGGAGCCAGAAGGGGAATGGAGTGGGAAGGTGGTCTTCCCCTGGAGTTGAGCTGCCCAGCAGCCGGACTCTCCTCCGACCACCCCTAACTGAATTCCACGTCGTCCCGCTGTTGATGGCCTGCCAACGTCTGCTGGTGTCTGTCGATGTGCTCTTCTGGTCCTCTGCTCCTCTCAGTGTCCAGCCACTTGTGTGTGTGCCCACTAGGGTCTCAGAGTTTTTATGGGCCCAGGATGGGGGGTGTGATGGGCCAAAAGGCAACTTTTGGGGCACGAAAACAGAAATGCTTGTCCTCACATAGGTCCGTGGGCACAGGCCTGAGGGTGGAAGCCTCGCCAGGGACCCAGCCCTTCTCTACCCAGCACTTCCCTGCCCTGTTCCCATATCAGCAACACAAAAGTTTTTAATTTTGACAAAGTCCAATTTATCTATTATTTCCTTTCATTGCTGAGTACACACAGAAGCAAGTGCACAATGGAAATTTTTTCAATTTTTATTTTGTAGAAATGGGGTTCCACAATGTTGCCCAGGCTGGCCTCGAACCCAAAGTGCTAGAATTACAACATGAGCCATCATGCCCAGCCTGTTTTTCATCTTTTTTCTAGCTTTACTGATTTGTGTTGCCTGTGCTGTTGGTGTCAATCTGCTTATGTGCCATAGGTCTATTAGAATTTTCTATTTCTTCTTGAGTCAGTTTCAGTAGTTTGTCTCCATCTATGAATTGTTCATTTTATCTAAGTTATCTAATTTCTCAGCAAATACTTGTCCAGATATTCCTTTGTAATCCTTTGTATTTCTGTAAGTGATGCCCCTTCTCTCTTTTTTTTTTTTTTTTTTTTTTTTTTTTTTTAGACAGAGTCTTGCTCTGTCACCCAGGCTGGAGTGCAGTGGCACAATCTCGGCTCTCTGCAAGCTCCACTTCCCAGGTTCATGCCATTCTCCTGCCTCAGCCTCCTGAGTAGCTGGGACTACAGGCGCCCACCACCACGCCTGGCTAATTTTTTTGTATTTTTTTAGTAGAGACGGGGTTTCACCGTGCTAGCCAGGATGGTCTTGATCTCCTGGCCTTGTGATCTGCCCACCTCGGCCTCCCAAAGTGCTGGGATTACAGGCATGAGCCACCACGCCCGGCTGCCCCTTCTCTTTTTTTAAAGCTTGAGTCTTTTCCTTTGTTCATCAGTTTTCAAAATAATGACTGGCTCCCTACCACCTCCCTAGGTGTGTGACACACTGCATTCTGGTTATCTGCTACTGTACAACTAATCACCCCAATGTCAGCAACTTAGACAACAACTGTCATTATGGTTTTTATGGTTTTGTGGGCCAAGAATGCAGCAAGGCCCTGCTGAGCATTGTTCTGCTCCTCATCGCACCGACTGAGGTCACTGGATGGTTTTTCACCAGCAGATGAATGGTCTCGGACCCCAGAAGGCTTTATTCACCTGGCTGGCACATTGATGGGCATGACGGGAAGGCCAGATGCAGCTGCACTGCCACACAGCGCCCACCCGCAGCCACTGAAGCATGAGGGCCTTGGGACAGGCACCTTCCCACAGGGCAATTCAGGGTGTCTGCAGGCTTCCAACAGAGGAAGTGGAAGCTGCTAGTTTCTTAAGGCCTGGGCCCACACATGTCTCATTTTTGCTGTATTCTACCAGTCAAAGCAGTCAATGAGCCCACCCACATTCATGAGGATGGGGACAAAGGCCCCACCATTGGAAGGAAGACTATCAAAAACTCTGGGGCCATCTTTAATCTGCCACAAATTGGGTGTGCTGCTTTGGGCTTTTGTATTTTTTTTATGAACATGGATTCAAACACATATGATGAGTTTCAGTCCATTGCAGTTATTATTACTGATGCTCAAATTGACCCCATTTGGGGCAGGAGGAACTCTTCAAGTGGCCCCTGAGCCTTATTAATGTTGACCTCGTGATCCTCAGTAATGTCCTTGCTTTGGGGTACAACAAGCTGTTCCCAGCTCACCTTGCACTCGTTTTCCTTAGGCTGGAATTGATCATTTCCCCTAGATGCAAAGGACTCAGTAAGAATACCAATCCTCCCCAGCCGGGCGTGGTGGCTCACGCCTGTAATCTCAGCACTTTGGGAGGCCAAGGCAGGTGGATCACAAGGTCAGGAGATTGAGACCATCCTGGCTAACACAGTGAAACCCTGTCTCTACTAAAGTACAAAAAATTAGCCACGCGTGGTGGCAGGGGCCTGTGGTCCCAGCTACTCGGGAGGCTGAGGCAGGAGAATGGCGTGAACCCGGAAGGCAGAGCTTGCAGTGAGCCAAGATTACGCCACTGCACTCCAGCCTGGGGGACAGAGCGAGACTCCGTCTCAAAAAAAAAAAAAAAAAATTAATTCCAATCCTCCCTTTCTGTCACTTGGACCTATCCTCTCCACTGCTGTGGCCCAGGCTGGAGTGCAATGGCATGATCTCAGCTCACTGCAACCTCCGCCTCCCTGGTTCAAGTGATTCTCCTGCCTTAGCCTCCCCAGCAACTGGGATTACAGGCGCCCGTCACCACGCCCAGCTAATTTTTTTGTATTTTTAGTAGAGACGGTTGTTTCACCATGTTGGCCAGACTGGTCTCAAACTCCCAACCTTCAGGTGATTCACCCACCTCGGCCTCCCAAAGTGCTGGGATTACCACGCTCAGCCCTATCCTCTCTTTTCAAAGTTATTGATCAACACTGACTTCTCGGTATCAGTGACCTGTTTAACTTTTCCTACCTTAACCCTAGGTACCTGTGGAGCCGCTGGGAACACCCACGTGCTCTTCGGGGTCACTGACTCTTGCCTCTGGCTCTTACCTGATGCCTGATTGTTTTACTGTCACTTTCGCCAGTCAGCTCTGAGCACTGAGGACCGATTGTCCCCAGCCCTCCCTCCAGGCCTTGCTGTCCCCCTTTGCCTAGGAAGTTCGTATTCATCATCTAAAATCCATCTAATACTGACCCAGTTCACCACCTTCCCAACACGCCCACACGTGCCTTCCCCACTGTGTTCTGCATTCGCTGTCCACCGCGGTCACGCTGTCACCCGGGCACCTGGTCACCCTGTCACAGCCTGCATGCTTCCATGTCAGGAATCTGTGAGCTCGCCAGAGGTCAGGACCTCACCCTTCATCTCAGTGCCCAGTTGCTGGGGCAAGGCTAGCCCAACTGTCACTGAACTACATGAGTCTCTGTTGGCATCAAAGAAGGGGGCGCCCTTGGCTTTCTCTGGCACCCCCTTCTTTGATACCTAGGAGGCAAAAAGTGGGAGCAGGCAGGAGGGAACATGAGCTGGGAACTGGTAAGGGAATGCCTTTCCAAATGCAGTGGCCCACCAAGCCTTCCTATGGGGTAATGAGTTCACTCTAGACCGTGTGAATTAACTGCTAAGCAACCAGGGTGCGTGAAAGGTTCTGGGGCGCCCCACACCATTAGCTACTCATGAAGTGCTTTGTGTGCCCACTTCTTTCTCCACAGGTATTTGGCATGAGTGACTTAACTGATAAGGTTTGAAAGTTAAAACCAGTTCCCACTAAGGCAGCCCCGGGGTCCTCTGGACACTATCGCCAACCATCTGAGTCTGTAACAAACACCCAGCACCGAACAAAGCACGTCAGGGCCGCTCCAGTGGGGCTGGGCGGTTTTATGGGATCCATTCGCTAATTAAAATTCACTCTTCCAGGCAGCTGTGATCTTTGGTGTCTTATGCACTTGAAAAATATATCTTGACATTTAAGCCATGCTTGCTGGGATGGTGTGAGTAGCAGCGATAAGCCACAAATTCCAATCAGTGTAAAAATGCTAAATTCCGTGTTGGGGCTTGATTTGAAGGGCAAGGGCACCCGAATTCCTACAGTTTGTCCCACTCCATCAGCACCCACAGAGACAAGCCTCTTCCTGTTCTCGGGATGACACAGACGCCCACCCGAGGCCACTGCCCACTCCTGAAATTTCAGGCTGCGATAACAACAAACTACATTTTCGCTCTGGACAATTTTGGGTGCTGTTATTGGCCAGTTGGTGTCTGCACAGCAGATAGTTCAGGTTCTGGGCCACACAAGGTCACGAGCCTGGGTGAGCAGAGCCTCCACCCCTGCCCCAGCTCAGCTCCCAGCCCATGGTGGATCCAGCCATCATCTCTGCCCAGGGTCGCTAAACAGGATCCAAGAGCCTGGGGGGAGTAGGAAGGCGCCCGGCTTATTGCGGAATCCCTGCTCCCAGACATCCCCATCCTGGGAGCCTAGCCTCTGAGGCACACAGGGGGATCTCCCCAAGGCCCCTCCCACTCTCTCCCAGGTCCCCAGCGGGGGTACCCATGGCAGGGCAGGATGCTCCGAAAACCCAGCAGGCCTCTTCTATCCGAAGGCCCAAGCCATGCATCTCTGACCAGGGTGACTTTGAAAGGTGTCTGAGGTGTGGGCCCCAAACACCCTCCCACTTCATGCCTTGGCAGGAGCTGCTCTATGAGGCCGGAATGACCCCCACTCTCTGCCCCACCCCTCACCTGCACCACACCAGCCAAGGAAGGTCAGCCACCTAAGCTCTGGGGACCCTGTGTTGCTAATGCAGACAGTCCCTACAGACTCCCCCACACTGCTGTGGTCTGCCATGGCCTGTCCCTGCCCGTTGTAGGGAAAGCCACGTTCTATCATGAAGTGGGGGCGAGGCTGGGGATGGGAGCATAGGGAGACCTGCCCTGGGGGTCAGGAAGACCCCCCACTGGCCCCTGGGTCACACCAGGTTCAGAGCAAAGGGTGGGATAGGGAGTGGGCATCAAGGAGCTTAGGTGGTCTTCTCAGGGTGGAGAGGTTGCCCAGGGAAATGCTCTCTTTCTTCCTTTTGTTTCCTCTAGGAGATTTGTTCAAGGTGGAGGCAGGGCAAGCCCAGGCATGGGACGGGGCCTCTCCAGAGGAGAGAGACGCTGGACAAGCAGGGCCCTGGGGTGGGTGGGGCGCGTGCAGCTCAGGCCACTTCCTACATGTGCTGTGGGTCCCCTCTCTCACCTGCCCTGAGGTTTGTTTTGTTAACAATGTAGATGCTTTGCCTCTCTTAGTGCGTTCAGCTGTCATCACAGAATACCATAGACTGGGTGCTTATCAACGACAGAAATTTCTTTCTTGCAATTCTGGAGGCTGGGAGCCCGAAATCAAGTGCTGGCAAATTCAGCGTCTGGTGAGGGCTGCTTCCTGGTTCATAGATAGCCCCTAGCCCTATTCATGAGGGCTCTGCCCTCATCACTCCCCAAAGGTCCCTCCCACCCCCGATACCATCACGTTGGTGACTAGACTTCAGTATATGAAGCTGGGGGTGACACCAACATTCAGACCATAGGATTACGCATTGGCAAAATAAAATTCTTCTTAAAAATACATGTGGAAGGCCGGCCGCGGTGGCTCATGCCTGTAATCCCAGCACTTTGGGAGGCCGAGGCAGGCGGATCACGAGGTCAGGAGATCGAGACCATCTTGGCTAACACAGTGAAACCCCGTCTCTACTAAAAATACAAAAAATTAGCCGGGTGTAGTGACGGGCGCCTGTAGTCCCAGCTACTCAGGAGGCTGAGGCAGGAGAATGGCGTGAACCCAGGAGGCGGAGCTTGCAGTGAGCCAAGGTGGTGCCACTGCACTCCAGCCTGAGTGACAGAGCAAGACTCCATCTCAAAAAAAAAAAAAAAAAACACGTGGAAGCATGAGGCAGAAGCATCCCCAGCCAGCTGCTGCGTCCATTATCACCCTCCGACCCAGCAGGCACGGCTGGTGCCCCCCTGCTCTGTGAGTGGGACCAGGTGTCATCGGAGACACCTGTTGGGGGACACAGAGGCCTTGGGCCGGGTCAGCGCCGCCAGCTGCTCCTTGGGGAAGGCAGGATGAGGGGCCGGCTTTTAAGATGGTGGCTGCTGGGGAGCTGCCTACACGCTCTGTTTAATATTCTCTTTAACTCGACACCTTCTGACACCATGCTGGAGGCTGATGAAGGGGAAATCTGACAGGAGCTATAGGGTGGGTCTGAGATGTCAGTCCGTGCTCCGCCGTCTCTCTCCTCTGTTGCCACATTTGGGTTGGACCTGAGGCCATCGAAACTGGGACCTTTAGAAGTCCCTTGCAGAACGCTTGCTAGCTTTATTGTTAGGCACCCTATACTTTTTGTTACTTTGGTAAATTGATTTTTTCATTGCTTTTTGGAATGTAGAAAGGCAATTGATTTTTGTTTATTGATCAACCAACTAGCTCAACCACCCTATTAATTCTGTCATCTGTCTGCAAGTTTGGGGGAGGTTCTATTTATATGATCATATCATTAGACAGTGATTACAGTTTGCTTTCCCTTCTTCTCATTCTCAAACATTGAGTTTCTTTTTCTTCTCTGTCTGCACTGTCTGGGGCCCTCAGGACAATCTCCAGTGGAAACAGCGTGCTGGGCATCTGATTGTATTCCTGACTGGCTGAGGATGACGACTAGTATGTCACTGTCAAATGTGACGTTTCCCATAGATTGTTAGTGTATATCTTCTTTCACTTCAGATTTGCTAAGAGTTTGAGTTTTTTTCCAATCATGAGTGGTTTTTACATTTTATCAATTTATTTTCATGCATCTATTAAGAATATAATCTGCTCTTGACCAGGCACGGTGGCTCACGCCTGTAATCCCAGCACTTTGGGAGGCCGAGGCCGGCGGATCACAAGGTCAGGAGATCGAGACCATCCTGGCTGACACGGTGAAACCCCACCTCTACTAAAAATAAAAAAAAAATTAGCCGGGCGAGGTGGCGGGCGCCTGTAGTCCCAGCTACTCGGGAGGCTGAGGCAGGAGAATGGCGTGAACCCAAGAGGAGGAGCTTGCAGTGAGCCGAGATCGCGCCACTGCACTCCAGCCTGAGTGACAGAGCGAGACTCCGTCTCAAAAAAAAAAAAAAAGAATATCATCTGCTCTCTTTTCCCTGTGCCTATTAATATGGTGACTTCACAGGTCAATTTTCTAATGTTAAATCAACCTTGAGTTTCTGGAACATAACAACCTGGACGTGACCTGTTATATTTCTTTTTTTTTTCAAGATGGAGTCCTGCCCTGTCGCCCAGGCTGGAGTGCAGCGGTGCGATCTCGGCTCACTACGACTTCTGCCTCCCAGGTTCAAGGGATTCTCCTGCCTCAGCCTCCTGAGTAGCTGGGACTACAGGCATGTGCCACCACGCCCGGCTAATTTTTGTATTTTTAGTAGAGACGGGGTTTCACCATGTTGGCCAGGCTGGTCTCTAACTCCTGACCTCAGGTGATCCGCCCGCCTCGGCCTCCCAAAGTTCTGGGATTACAGGTGTGAGCCACCGCGCCCGGCCTGAACTCTTATACTACTATGTGTTTTGCCTGGATTTGATTTGCGCAATATTTTACCTAGAGGGTTTTCACATCCATGTTCATAAGTAGATTGGCCTGTAATGACTTTTCTCCCAATTTTCTCTTTTTCGAACTATAAAAAGAATTGGAGAATGTTTCCTCTTTGTCTCCAGAACACTTTATATATAAAACCAAAACCATCTTCTCCTTTAAAGAGGTCTTAAACTTACCTCGGTCTGTTTCTTTTGTGAAAGATTGTTTATTAATAATCTAATTTCTTTAAATTTTATCAGACTCTTCATTCAGGTTTTCTATTTATCCTTAAGCTGGTTTTTATTAATTGTATTTTCTAGGTGTTTTAGACAGTTTTGAGTTTATGAGCATCAGGTTGAAATGGGGAAGGTTCCCTTGTCCTCCTCACAGGGCATGTGACAGGGGGTGTGGCTCGCTTCTTCAGGGCCCCACTGCTCAAGCCTCTAGGAGAGCATACAGACAGGCAGCGTCTGGGGGTGAATGTTCACAGCACCTGAAGCCCCAGTGGGCGTGGGCTGCATGTGCTCTTTTAGGTGTTCCATCTATAGGCGGCTTGTGTTAACCAGCTCAATTAGACCCTTTACCTTGTTGCAAGGACAAAGGGCTTTCTGTGTCCCAGGTGTGTACCAGGTGCCTTGGTGTCCCGGAAGAATCGGACCACACGTGGGCTTGGAGAATGAGTGCGAGGTTTTATTGAGTGGAAGTAGCTGTCAGAAGATGGCAAAGCCAGAAGGGAGATGGTTTTCCCCTGGAGTCAGCCACTCAGCGGCTGGACTCTTCTCCGACCACTTCAGCCAAACTCCATGTCATTCCCCCGGTCAATGGCCTGCCGGCGTGCCGGCCTCTGCCTGTGCCTATGGGCGTGCTCTTCAACCCATGTGCTCCTGTCAACGTCCAGCCGCCCGTGTGTTCCTCTGCTGACGTGCTTCTCTGTCCAGCCACCTGCGTGTCTGCCCGCTAGGGTCTCGGGTTTCTATAGGCACAGGATAGGGACGTGGCCGGCCAGGGTAGTCTTGGAAAATGCAATATATGGGCAGGAAAACAAAAATGCCTGTCCTCACCTAGGTCCGTGGGCGCAGGCCTGGGGGTGGAGCCCTAGCCAGGGACCGTGCCCTTCCCTTCCCAGCACTTCTGTATCAAAGCCATAGTACTTTTTACTGTCATTTTAATCTTTGCTGTACCTGAGATGTATCTTCTTTTTCACTCCTGAAAGTTTTGGGGTGTATGTGTGCCTTACTTCTTTTCTTACAGCTTTATTGAGATATATTCCACATACCATAAAATTCACCCATGTGAAGCATACAGTTTAATGATTTTTAGAATATTCACAGTGGTACAACCAACACCACCATCTAATTTTAGAACATTTTCAGCATCCTTAAAAGAAATCCCAGCGACATCAACAGCCACTCCCTTCTGTTTCATTCTCCACCTGAGACTTTTTTTTTTTTATTAGACAGAGTCTCACACTGTCACCTAGGCTGGAGTGCTGTGGCGTGATCTCGGCTCACTGCAACCTCCGCCTCCCGGGTTCAAGCGATTCTCCTGCCTCAGCCTCCCGAGTAGCTGGGGCTACAGGCACCCATCACCATGCCCAGATAATTTTTGTATTTTTAGTAGAGATGGGGTTTCACCATGTTGGCCAGGATGGTCTCAATCTCTTGACCTCGTGATCTGCCCGCCTCGGCCTCCCAAAGTGCTGGGCTTACAGGCATGAGCCACCAGTGCCGGGCCGAGATTGGCTTTTAATTTGTTGCATGTTTGCATGGTTCAAAAGTCAAAATGACATGATGAGGCATAAAATAAGTATAGGCTGGGCACGGTGGCTCACACGTATAACCTCAACACTTTGGGAGATCAAGGCAGGAGGATCACTTGAGGCCAAGAGTTCAAGACCAGCTTAGGCAACATAGCGAAGCCCCATCTCTACAATTTTTAATTAAACTTAGCCAGGCATAGTGCCGTGTGCCTGTATTTAGCCGGGCATAGTGGTGTGTGCCTGTATTCCCAGCTACTCGAGAGGCTGAGGCAAGAGGACTGCTTAAGCCCAGAAGTTCGAGGCTGCAGTGAGCCATGATCACACCATTGCACCTCCAGCCTGGGCAAGAGTGCAAGACTGTGTCTCTAAAAAATTAAAAATTAAAATGGGGTATAAAACTATACAAAAAAAATTCTAACTCCCATCTTCATCTTCCCCACAATTGTCTCTCTCACACTCACATAACCATTTTTATTCATTTTCTGTTTATTTTTCTGTATTTCTTTATACAACTACAACAAGGAAATGCAAATATATTTATTCCTATTTTCCACTCTTTTCTTACAGAAAGGTAACATCATTGATACAGTATCTTGCACCTTCTTTTTTTTCTTACTATATCCTGAAGTAGCTCCTTATTCTTTCTTCCAGTTGTGTTTCATGTTTATTCAGCCAGCTCCCCATGGGCAGGCCCTTGGCTTGTTTCCAAGCTTTTACCATTACAAACAGTGCTGTAGTGTATAACCTCGTTCATGGGTCATTTTATACTCGTGAATATCTGTCTGTAGAATAGATTTTCAGAGGTAGGATTGCTGGGTCAAAGGATAAATACATTTTTTTGTTTGTTTGTTTGTTTTTTGTTTTTTTTGAGACGGAGTCTTGCTCTGTCGCCCAGGCTGGAGTGCAGTGGCACCATCTCAGCTCACTGCAAGCTCCGCTTCCCGGGTTCACGCCATTCTCCTGCCTCACCCTCCTGAGTAGCTAGGAATACAGGTGCCCGCCACCATGCCTGGCTAATTTTTTGTATTTTTAGTTGAGACGGGGTTTCACTGTGTTAGCGAGGATGGTCTCGATCTCCTGACCTCGTGATCCACCCGCCTCGGCCTCCCAAAGTGCTGGGATTACAGGCATGAGCCATCGCGCCCGGCCAATACATTTGTATTTTTTATAAGCAATGCCAAACTGCTCTCCATAAGGTTTGTACAATTTTGTATTCTCCACAACCAAACCTGTTTCCTCACAGCCACACCAACGATGTATTTTACAATTTTGGATTTTTGCCAAATTGAATTGCGCAAAATGATGTCTAAGGGCAATTTAATTTGCATTTCTCTTATTACAACTGGGGTTGAGCATCTCTTGATGTTTAAGGATCATTTGCATTTCATTCTGTATGAACTATTTCTTTCTTTTGCCCATTTTTTCTTTGTAGTCCTTGGTCTCTTTCTTAGGAAAGTAAAAGCTATCTTTATCTATTACTGCATGACAAACTACCTCAAAACCTAATGGCTTAAAGCGACATAATTTATTATTCCTCAGGATTCTGCGGGTCGAGTGGGCACAGCTGGGTGGCTCTTGCTCTACTTGCTACCAGCTGGGCTTACTCACTCGGCTACATTTGGCCGGCAGCTTGGCTGAGCTGGATGGTCCACCAAGCCTTCACTCACTTGTCGAGTGCCTTTGTGCTCGTCTGCATAGCCACGTCACCTCGGCTGGGGCCTCCTCACAGCGTGGTGGTCTCAGGGAAGTCAGCCTTCTTACATAGCAGCTGGCTTTCAAGAGGGAGGAAACAGAAGCTGCCAGTCCTCTTAAGGCCTGGATTCCAACGTCAGGAAATGTCACTTCTGCATTCCTTTGGTCATAGAAAGTCACAAGGTCAGCCCAGATTTAAGGAATAGGAAATAGACCCCACCTCTGGGTGGGAGAAGTGGTGTGGGCTGCAGGGAAGGAACGCACTGGTGGCCGTCGGGGCCAAAGACCGGGGATAGACGGGGAGAGCGGGGGCAGCCGCTGGCATCACCGTGAGCCTGTCTTAGCCCTTGGGGGCATCGTGAGGTTGGATTCTTTAAAGACAGGGCTCCGAGGGTTGGGAATCTTGAGGGCTATAACAATACTAAAAACTGAGGACACGCATACATTTCGTTGTGATTTTCGGTGGAGGAACTTAGTGAAGGTGGTGTTACGGGGTCGGGGAGAAAATGTAAAAGCTTGGCCGTGGGTGGGTTGGGGCCGACCCTTTCTCCCACCGGTTTATGGCTGGAGAAGGTGGGAGATGTCAACTCCATTTAGGGGACTGGAGGGACCTGGACAGTTTTGAAGGGGAATTTGAGAGTTGAATTTGAGTGTGCGCTTGTAAAGGACTCAACCCTGCCAGTCGCGGTTCAAGATCAGGGTTGGCTGTAGGTGGGAGGCCGTGCAGTTCCTGGGAAAGCTAACTCACCGCGGTGTCTTTTCTGTCTCACGCCGAGAAGAGCCCTGTTTGTGCTCCGCTACTGCCTGGAGTCTCCAGAGGACGCAAACGGGCGAGGGGATGTGTGGGGAGAAGTACTTGCTTTTTCTTGCTTTCTTCTTTACAGAATTTGTTCTTTTCCCACAAGGCCACTCTAGCCACACCAGGAGCTTTCTCAGAAGCAGTCACAATCTTTTTCCTTTTTTTGTTTTCAGACAAGGTCTCACAAATGACAAACAACAAGACAAATGACAAACAGGCAAAAAAAAAAAATCTTTTTTCTTCCAAGATAAAACCCAAATTGATTCAGCAGACATTTTGATTAGGAAATCCTATAAATCAGGACCACTCTTAATTTCAGACACTCCGTTATGAAGTGTACATCTACCTCTAGGGGATGAATAAGCCATTGAATCTTTTAAAAACTGGCTTTTTAAAAACTGTTGCCGAGGCTGGAGTGCAGTGGCACAATCTTGGCTCACTGCAGCCTTAAATTCCTGGGCTCAAGTGATCCTCCTGATTTAGTCTCCCTAGTAGCTGGGAGCACAGGTGCATGCCACCACCATGCTGGCTAATTTTTTTTTTTTTTTGAGACGGAGTCTCGCTCTGTTGCCCAGGCTGGAGTGCAGTGGCATGGTCTCGGCTCACTGTAACCTCTGCCACCCAGGTTCAAGCGATTCTCCTTCCTCAGCCTCCCAAGTAGCTGGGATTACAGGCACCTGCCACAGCGCCTGGCTAATTTTTGTATTTTTAGTAGAGACGGGGTTTCACCATCTTGGCGAGGCTGGTCTTGAACTTCTGACCTCGTGATCCACCCCCTGCTCGGCTACCCAAAGTGCCAGGATTACAGGCATGAGCCACCGCGCCCCGCCTAATTTTTGTATTTTTGTGTAGAGATGGGATCTCATTATGTTGCTCAGGCTGATCTCAAACTCCCGCCCTCAAGCAATCTTCCTGCCTTGGCCTCTCAAAATGCTGGGATTATAGACGTGAGCCACTGGGCCCACCTAAACAATCTCTTGAGCCTCTCTCCCATCCTCCCAGCCCAACTTTCTTATTCCATCCTTGCTGGTGTCTGTAGGAATGGACAAGAGACCCTGGATGTTTTTCTGCTCTGTGCTGGCCTCTGTGAAGCTGTGGGCCTCAGGCTCTGCACATCCTCCCCGTGCGGTTTGTCTCCTTCTCCCATGCAGCTGTTCTTTGTGACCGAAGCTGGTTTTAAAATGTGGCTTTCCCCGAGGAGAAATCACAGGCTTTGCCCTTTGAAGCTTAATGGTGTCTTACGAAGGTCCTACCCCCAAATGCGAAGGTAGCAAAGCCAGTTTTTAAGAGATTCAATGGCCTGTTCATCCTCCAGATGTAGATGTACGCTTCATAACGGAGTGTCTGAAATTAAAAGTGGTCCTGATTTATAGGATTTCCTAATTAAAATGTCTGCTGAATCAATTTGGGTCTTGTTCTGGGAAAGAAAAGAATTTTTTTGCCTGTTTGTCATTTGTCTTTTGACTTTGCTTATGTTTGTGTCTGTGTGTGCATGTGCACGTAGGGTTTTGTTGAACATTTTATTTGGAAACAATTATAGATTCACAGAAGTTGCAAGGATAGTATCGAGATGTCCCCATTTACACTTCACACAGTTTCTCCCAGTGACAATATCTTACATAACTATGGTACAACATCAAAACCGGGAAAATTGACATTGGTGCAATGTGCGTCATCTTTTTTTTTTTTCTTTTTTGAGACAGAGTCTCACTCTCTCGCCCAGGCTGGAGTGCAGTGGCGCGATCTCAGCTCACTGCAACCTCTGCCTCCCAGGTTCAACCCATTCTCATGCCTCAGCCTCCCGAGTAGCTGGGACTATACGTAGCCCGCCACCACACCTGGCTAGTTTTTGTATTTTTAGTAGAGAAAGGGTTTCACCTTGTTGGCCAGGCTGATCTCTAACTCCTGACCTCAGGTGATCTGCCCATCTCAGCCTCCCATAATGCTGGGATTACAGGCGTGAGCCACCAAGCCCGACCCAATGTGTGTCATCTTATCATATGTGTAGTTTCATGTAACTATTACAATCAAAATACAAAACTGTCCCATTGCCACAAAAATCACCCTTGGGAGCCACCCCATGATAGTCACCTACACAGCCATGTCCCCACCATCCCTAACCTCTGACAGCCACTCGTCTGTTTTCCATCTCTGTAGGGGGTGAATAGGCCTCCAAAAATGTATGTCCAGCTCCTAACCCCTGGAACTGTGAGTGTGACCTTATTTGGAAAGGGGTCCTTACAACTGTAATGAAGAGTCTCGAGTTGAGATCATCCTGGAGTCAAAGTGGGCCCTGAATCCAATGACAGCTGTAAGAAAAGGAAGAAGGACATTGGAGACAAAAGGCAAAGAGGAGAAGGCGATGTGGAGACGGAGACACAGGTGGCAGTGATGCGTCCAAAAGCCAAAGAAGGTCAAGGATTGCGGCAGCCACCAGAAGCCAGGAGAGAGGCATGAATCCAATTCTGTCTCAGAGCCTTCAGAAAAAACACTTCACTTAAACTGGTAAAAAGCAAAACCAAAACCAAACAAACAAAAACATTGACAAAGGGGAATCCACACGCACAGGGCATTAGAGCATTCAACAAATATGAGTGCCTACCGTATGCCAGGTGCTGGACAGAGCATTTGGCATACTTTAGTGAACAGGAAGGTGAAGGCCCTGCCCTTCAGCAGTGACTTGCTAATGGGTTGTTGTTTTTTCCGGGCTATTTTCTTTCTGCTATTCCGATTGGATAATATATATCATTGTACCTCCAAGTTCATGGATTTCTTTCCTCCATCCTCTCCATTCTGCTGTTAAACCCATCCATTGAGTTTTTATATTGTTATTCTATATTTTATCCTTACTTTTTTTTTTTTTTTTTTTTTTTTTTGAGATGGAGTCTCACTCTTTTTCGCCCAGGCTGGAGTTCAGTGGCGCAATCTTGGCTCACTGCAACCTCTGCTTCCTGGGTTCAAGTGATTCTCCTGCCTCAGCCTCCCAAGGAGCTGGGATTACAGGTGCACCCCACCATGCCCGGCTAATTTTTTTGTATTTTCAGTAGAGACGGGGTTTCACCGTGATAGCCAGGATGGTCCCAAACTCCCTCAGGTGATCCGCCCAGCTCGGCCTCCCAAAGTGGTGGGATTACAGGCATAAGCCACTGTGCCTGGCCTCATTTATTTCTTAATATCATCTATTTCTTTGCCTAGACTTTCTCCTTTTTCATTGGTTTCAAGCGCATTCATAATGTGCACATTGCACCATTTTATGACAGCTGCTTTAAAATTCTTATCAGATAATTCTAACATCTGTGTCATCTCAGTGTTCGTGTCTGCTGTCTCTTCTCATTCATGCTGAGACTCTGTCCCTACAAAAATTAAAAAATAATTAGCCGGGCATAGTGGCATGTGCCTGTGGTCCAAGCTCCTCAGGAGGCTGAGGCAGGAGGATCACCTGAGTGCAGGAGTTCAAAGCTGCCATGAGCCGTGATCACACCACGGCACTCCAGCCCAAGTTACAGAGTGAGACTGTCTCCGAAATAAATAAACAAATAAATAAAAATACACACATTTAAAATATTTGACTCAACTCGTGAATGAATGAAAAAATCAGTAAGCTACCACAACTAGTTTAAAGGAGAATTCAAAGAACAGAGACACCTATGGATCATGAAGTGGATGTATAAATATATATCAAATTGGCTCTTTTTTGGTAGGGTTTGCATTAGCTTCCTCTTGCTGCTATAACAAATTATCACAAATGTAAGTGGCTTAAAACAGCAAATGTATTGTCTTGCAGTTCTGGAGATGGGAAGTCCAAAGTGGGTGGACAGAGCAGAGTTCCTTCGGGAGGCCCCATGAGAGCCTGTTTTCTGGCCGGGCGCAGTGGCTTACGCCTGTAATCCCAGCACTTTGGGAGGCCGAGGCAGGCAGATCACGAGGTCAGGAGATTGAGACCATCCTGGCTAACACGGTGAAACCCCGTCTCTACTAAAAAAAATACAAAAAATTAGCCGGGTGTGGTGGCGGGCGCCTGTAGTCCCAGCTACTCTGGAGGCTGAGGCAGGAGAATGGCCTGAAGCCAGGAGGCGGAGCTTGCAGTGAGCCGAGATTGCACCGCTGCACTCCAGCCTGGGCAACAGAGCGAGACTCTGCCTCAAAAAAAAAAAAAGAGAGAGAGCCTGTTTTCTTGCCTTTCCCACTTCTAGAGGCTGCCCTCATCCCTTGGCTCATGGCCAGGCCTCACTGCACCCTCTGCTTCCAAAGCCACATCTCCTGCCCTAACCCCAGCCCTCCTGCCTTCCTCCTAGAAGGAGCCTTGTGATTACACCGGGCCCTCCGAGATAATTCAGGGTAATCTCCTCACCTCAAGATCTTTACCTAATTTACATATGCAGAGTCTGTTTTGCCGCGTAAAGTAACATACTCAAACTGTGGATATCTTTGGGGGTCCATTACTCTGCCTGCCACGATGGGGAATCAAGTGTTCTTTCTACCAGAAAGAATTAATTTGCACATCTACAGATAAAAATCCTTTGCATTGCTGTTGCTTATCTACAGTTTACAAAATTACAAAACAGCACAAAGACAATGAAAAGCACAAACCCAAAAGTGGGTGGCCCAGAAGAGAGTGCTTCATTTTACACTGTGATCCAAAGCAGTTTTCCACTGAAGACACCTAATCATTCTTCTGGTCCATTTCAAAGGCTTTTACCACTTTTCCTGGTATTTCTAACCTGCTTCATCCCTTTACTTCTAGTTCATGCTTTTTCCTCATTTCTGTCATCTATTTGCCTTAGCATACTTTCAACTCTATCTCTCTTAAACTCCTTTTAACTTCATGTTCATTCTGAAATAGGTTGGCCTTTTCTTCTCATTTTTTTTCTAATTCTACCAGTCCATAATGTCCACCTGCTATCTGGTCATCTCTTCCTCTTGTCTGGCTATTTCTATCGTAAGTTCTTGCATTTCTGCTTTGTGGTCTTTATAGTTGCAACTATTTCATTGAGGTTTTTTTTCTTAATATATGTTGGAAGTTTGGAGTGCAATTTTCCTCCGCCTTTGGCAACACTTTTCTGATATATTTTCTTCGTCTGCAGAGAAATTCTCTTTTTCAGGGTTTTTCTTACAGTATTTTGTATGAATTTGAAGTTATAGCTATTAAGTTACTAATATTTGGGTAAGTTCTTTGATCCCAGGCCAGCTATTAGCAGGAGAATCCTGGGTGTTGGGTGGTGGTTTGTTTTGTTTTGTTTTGTTTTGTTTTGCTTTGCTTGAGATGAGATCTATGTTGTCCAGGCTGGTTTCAGACTCCTGGCCTCAAGCAATCCTCCTGCCTCGGCCTCCCAAAGTGCTGGGATTACAGGTGTGAGCTACCACGCCTGGCCCATCCTGTGTCTTGATAGCATAAACTCAGATGTGGTCCAAGGGTCACCATGAATAACAAACACATGCTTGTCACTTGGAGAATTCCAAGAGCTTTAGAAGCTTCATCCCATGAACTCTAGGGAAAAAAAAAAATCTTTACCATAAAACAGAGGGACTTTCTGATTAGTATGCCTAAGGAAGTGAAAGGCCAAAGCTTATCAGAACAGCCAAGGGTATCAAGAGAGAAGGCCTGGGAAAGAAAAGATGGCAGACAGGAGATCTGTCTCCATAAAGAGATACATAAGTCATGGTACTTGTTCCTCTGGGCCTCAGAAGATGACTGGAAACAGGCAACTCCAGGTCCAGGACATGGGCTGCGTGTTAGAGGGAAGTACTCCTTCCCATTCGAATCCCCCTGAGAGATTGATGGGCTAAGCCAGTAACCACCATATCTGCAAGTGCCCTGGGCCTTCATTTGATGTGGGGCCTGGAAAGATCCTGCTCCAGGGAGGAGTTAGGGCACCTGTAAGGGTCGCCACAACTGGCAGGGGCCCAGCACAGTGGCCAAGGCCTTCACATGCACTTGGTAGACATTTTTTTTGTCATGCTATACAGACTGTCCCTCCAGCTTTTGGAGAAGTAGGGGGCATAGGGTTGGGTCCACCATTGTACACAACAGGGCACAGTGTAAAACTGAGGAGTGGGTCACGTCTGCCAAGCCCCTGAACCACCACCCTATGCGAGATGATCTCACTGATCGTCTTTACTCCTCATGCCACCTCTTGCCATAGGCTGGGTCTCCTCCTCCCTCCTTACATGGTGTCAACCCCTCATCCTCAAATTCTTATGCACAATCCCAAATAAGGCTCCAGGAAAACCTTTGCTCAACCAGAAACTCATGATGGTGAACCTTAAACAAAGTGTCAACCACCCTTGCCCCCTGCTGTCAGCAGCACAACATAGAAGCTTTGATTCCTTCTTCTTCAGCATACCCTTGACCTGCTCTTAGCAAGGCCCCCAGCCTTGACTGCAGGGTGGGGTGTTTCTTCCTGCAGAACTGGGTGTGAAGAACATCATCCACCCTGGCACCCCTGCTCCCTGTCCCTCTGCCGTGCAGCCAGGGGGGCTGCCTGGCCACCTGCTCTGGACTCAGCGTGCACCAGCTCGTTGGGATTCTATTGACTGAGGCTTCCATGTGCCCCCACTCCTGGTTTCCCTTCCACCCTGTCGCCTACTCACGGTGTCCCCAGAGTTCTGCCCTTCTCCTCTGCGTCTCGTGACTTTCACACCCTCCCTGGGTCCCATGGCTTCCCATCTTACCCAGTTGCTAAGGACCCCCCGTTTCTGTTTCCTGTCCAAATCCCCCTCCCATGTGTGGATGGAGACACAGAAACTCTTTCACCGTGGTTTCCTTTAGGGAGAGCTGTGAGGAGCATAAAGTGATATATACACGTTGTAGAGGGTGATTATAAGTGTTTTCCTCCCATCTCAAACTCCTGCTAGTTCTCCCCAGTTTGAGATTGCAGCGGGCTATGATCACGCCACTGCACTTCATCCTGGGCAACAGATTATAATTACTTGGTTTTGTGTTTTTGTCCTTTTTTTTTTTTTTTTTAAGACAGGGCTGGCTGGGCACGGTGGCTCACGCCCGTAATCCCAGCACTTTGGGAGGCCGAGGCGGGCAGATCACAAGGTCAGGAGATTGAGACCATCCTGGCTAACATGGTGAAACCCCGTCTCTACTAAAAATACAAAAAAATTAGGCGGGCGTGGTGGTGGGCACCTGTAGTCCCAGCTGCTCAGAAGCCTGAGGCAGGAGAATGGCATGAACCCAGGAGGCGGAGGTTGCAGTGAGCCAAGATTGTGCCACTGCACTCCAGCCTGGGCAACAGAGCGAGACTCCATCTCAAAAAAAAAAAAAAGGGGGGGGGGGGGAGGCCTTGCTCTGGGCTCAAGCAATCCTCCTACTCCAGCCTCCCAAGTAGCTGTGACTACAGGTATGCACCGCCACATGCAGCTAATCATGCTTTGTAGGGACGGGGTTTTGCCGTGTTCCCCAGGCTGGTCTTGAACTCCTGGGCTCAAGTGATCCTCTCACCTCAGCCTCCCAGAGTGCTGGGATTACAGATGTGAGCCACGGCACCTGGCCACGATGGTCAGCTTTAGGTGTCAACTTGGCTAGACAATAGTACTCGGTTATTTAATCTGTTAAAAAAGTAAACCAAGACAATAAAATGTTAAAGAGTTTATTTGAGCAAAGAGTGATTCACGAATCAGGCAGCTCCAAACCAGAGGTGGTTGGAGGGTTGCACTGAGGACGCAGAGGCACAGATGTTTTAGGGTAAATGTGGAAGAGATGCTGAGAAAATATTTAATTGGTTATAATTATAAGTTGCCTTATTTGGTCTATCCCACTGGAAAGTCCTTAGTTATATAATGAGAAGTTTTTTGGCTGATTCTGACTAGTTGAGCTTAAGTTCTGTTTCTCTTTAACATAGACATTTATAAGAAATAGCTCAAGTTAAGTTTCACTTATGTTTGCAAATCAAACAAGGTGAAGGTCGCATATAGGCCTAACTGGCTTTGTCTGCTCAAGGATTCTTCAGACCTGGTCTTCATTTTAATTGATTCTAACAAACTCAACACTAGCCTAGGTGTTCTGTAAGGCATTTTGTAGATGCAAATCACGTCTGCAGTCAGCCAATTTTAAGAAAAGGAGATTATCCTTGGTAACCTGGGTCAGCCTCATCCAATAGGATGAAAGGCCTTGAGCAGAACTGAGGCTTCCCTGAGGAAGGAGAAACCCTGTCTGGACTGCAGCGTCGGCGCCTGCCAGAGAGTTCCCGCCTGCCCTTCCAGTGCCCTGGCCTACGGATTCCTGACTTGCCCTGACAGCCCCACCTTTGGGGAAGCCAGTTCCTTGCAATGCATCTCTCTCTCTCTGTATATATGGATATACATACTGCTTCTGTTTCTGTGGTAGAGCCCTGACCAATACACTACCTAATAAAATCAATTAAATTCAAACTCATCATTCTCTTTCCCACTATCCTACACCAACACACCCCCCGAGGCGCCCTCCCAGTCCTCATCCTGGTGAATGGCATGGTCTTCCTTGCTGCTGCCCAGGCCAGAAGCTGCGGAGTCTGGCCAGGCTCCTCCCTCTCTCTCCTCCTATACCCAGGCATTGGGCCAGCCCAGGGGTTTTGAGAATTCGCACCCACCCTCCACTCACACCTCCACTGTTTGCCCTCTGGCTTTCCACTGCAGACGTCTCACTAGATTCTCTGTCTCCATGACAGTCTCATCTCCCCTGCCCCAGCCACCAGCCAGGGTGGTCTCTGAGAATCCCATCTGTCCTGTTTAAAGGCCTCTTCTGTGGGCAACATGGAGTCCACACCCCCATGCCGGCCGGCCCTCTCATTCCAGCCGCTGCCCCAGGACCAGGGCATTGGGCCTCCATCTACCTACTGGCTGGCCGCTTGCTTTCCTGAATGCCCAGCAAACCCCAGCCACTGGGGACATGGGCTAGGTCTCTCAGTTCCTACTTTGGAACCTAAAACCTAGTAAGTACTTCAAAACTGTTTTCCTGCAGTGCGATTGAATGGACTTACCCCTCCCTCTCCGTCTCCTCTAACTGCTCATAATACAGAACCCAAGAAATGTACTTAATTAGTTTGGGGGTTACCAACAGGAATTTCACTGTCTTTGTTCATGATTTAATGGTAGGTGATTAGCGCAAAAAAGATGTTGCCCCTTAAGAAAACGAAATCTGCTTTTGTCTCGTGTGTGGTCTTCAAGTGAGTTTTATTTATTTTTATTTTTTTTATTTTTTTGAGATGGAGTCTCGCTCTGTCACTCAGGCTGGAGTGCAGTGGCGTGATCACCGCTCACTGCAAGCCCCACCTCCCAGGTTCACGCCATTCTCCTGCCTCTGCCTCCCGAGTAGCTGGGACTACAGGCGCCCGCCACCACGCCCAGCTAATTTTTTGTATTTTTAGTAGAGACGGGGTTTCACCCTGTTAGCCAGGCTGGTCTTGATCTCCTGACCTCGTGATCCGCCCGCCTCAGCCTCCCACAGTGCTGGGATTACAGGCGTGAGACCCCGCGCCCGGCCCAGTGAGTTTTATTTTTTGTTTCCCGGTGGTGCTTGATACTAAAATATGTTTCACTCCGCTGTTGATCCTTCAACAAGTCTAGAAGAACAGGTGGCCCCAGGGCCATTTCTTTAGGGTCCTAAGCAGATAGGAAGAGCTTTGCTCTGTCTCGTGTTCCAGCGGACCCAACATTCATGTCTCTATTGGATGGAAACTGCTGGAACATCTTCATTTCTGGAGACAGAGCCTGAGTCCTTGGCCCCAGGCCTTTCTCTCCATCCCTGTCAAGCAATTCTTTTAAGTGTTAGCTCCTCGCATAAAGCCTGTGGTCTGCCAGAACCCACCCTGAGGGCCGAGCCCCATGCCTGGCTTGCCCAGTACCCCAGGCTGGGAGCTCAGCAGCCACAGCCTACAACTTGGAGCAGGAAGCACTTGCTGAAAAGGCTCAACGTGAACTTGGACCTGACTTTGACTTCTTCTCTGTTTGAGAGCTTTTGTTTCCCCCACTAGATTCTGGATTCCTAATAACCCTGTGATGAGTCCTCCCTGGAGCGAAGACAGTGAGTAAGCCAGCAGTTGTGTGCTGCAGGAGGCAACTCTGACCCACACAGTTTTCTTGAGTTCATGAATCAAAGATGCCAGACCCTGAGCCCCAAGGGCCGGGTGCCAATGGCCCTGTGAAGGTCATCCTGTGGCCCTTGCAGGCGGAGCCTGTCTTTCCTCTGTGCAAAGCGTGCTCTTGCTGCCCACCGTGGGAAGCTGGGCCCCTGAGTTCCAGCCTCCCTTGCAGAGATGTGCGCTTTCCCGGTACTTTTCCGCCCTGGCATTCTGCATGACTGCCAGGCAATCGCTCGGAGATAAAGTGTACCCTTTATAAGCCCAGAACTTTAAGTTTCTCTCACACAGAGATCAGACTCCTAAAGGGAGTAACTGAAGACATTCTGAAAGCTCCAGGAACAGAGGAGCAGAAGGAGGCCGCCTGCCTCCTGCCAACAGCCAGTCAGGTGAGCTGCGAGCCACCTGGCTGTGTCCCCGGCTGCCCTCCGGGGCCCACTGCCATGGAAACCGCACACAGCATCGCTGCTTGAGGAGCCAGACGAACACAGCTGGCAGGGCCACTGGGTGGGCAGAAGGCAGCTGAGCAGAGCCTCGGGAAGCTGGGCTTCTCTTCTCAGCCCTGCCGCCCCCTCTTCACCGTGTCTGGAACAAGGTATTGCCCCACTAATGGTTTGCTCCCTTGAAAGGGATAAACAATCTCACGCTTCGATTCGAGGATACGGAGCCCTGGTTCTGAGGCACCAGCTGCTCTGTGAGCCTGAAGTGACTCACATAGTGTTTGAATCAACATGCACTGCATGGCGATGACAAGGACCGCTCTTGAGGAAGCCAGTGGGAAAGTGGCCCTCAACCTTTGCAGTCGGAAAGCATTGTAGAGAGATTCCTCGTCCCCAGGGTTTCTCCCCAGGCCCCTCCATGTCATGTAAGGAGTGGTAGCATTCATGTGCTACCATAGCAGGTAAATGGAGCAATTAAAAGTTACAGAATCACTGCAGTCTCTTCCCCATCCTTCACAGCCACTGGAATTCACATCTGCCTTAACGGAGTTCTGGCCTCCTCCTTCCTCCTTTGTGAAACCCTCTGTGGCTGCCCATTGCTTGCAGGAAAAACCCAGAGCTCTGAGTGCATGGCAGCTCACGTTCTTCACAGTCTGGCCCTGATCTTCCCTCCGGGTGCTCGACAGCTTGAATGTGGACCCCAGCCAGCCTGCCCTCCACATCACCCCTGCGACACTTAGTTCCCTCAGTGCGTTCTCATCTGAACACCACACAGCAAGTGTACCACATTGTCCACTGACGGGTGGCTTTCCTTTTGCGAATAGAAACTTTAATAGTACCCAAAAACAAATACAGTACTTTGAAAAAAAGGGTGCAAATATTTGTTGGTACTGGGAAATAAGAAAGGGTTAGAAATATTCTGACTCGGCCGGGCGCGGTGGCTCACGCCTGTAATCCCAGCACTTTGGGAGGCCAAGGCGGCCAGATCACCTGAGGTCAGGAGTTCAAGACCAGCCTGGCCAACATGGTGAAACCCCGTCTCTACTAAAAATACAAAAATTAGCCAGGCGTGGTGGCGCATGCCTGTAATCCCACCTACTCAGGAGGCTGAGGCAGAAGAATTGCTTAAACCGGGAGGCAGAGGTTGCAGTGAGCCAAGATCACACCATTGCACTTCAGCCTGGGTGACAGAGCGACACTCCATATATATATATATATGGCCAGGTGTGGTGGCTCACGCCTGTAATCCCAGCACTTTGGGAGGCCGAGATGAGCGGATCACAAGGTCAGGAGATTGAGACCATCTTGGCTAACATGGTGAAACCCCGTCTCTACTAAAAATACAAAAAATTAGCTGGGCGTGGTGGGGGGTGCCTGTAGTCCCAGCTACTCGGGAGGCTGAGGCAGGAGAATGGCGTGAACCCGGGAGGCGGAGCTTGCAGTGAGCCAAGATCGCTCCACTGCACTCCAACCTGGGCAACAGAGCAAGACTGTCTCAAAGAAAAAGGTTGCCTAGAGGGGGAGGTGGGGGAAGGAGAATGAGCAGGTGGGGATATCTTTTCATATCATTTTGATGGTTTGAACTATGTCATGCATCTCCCATTTGAAAGTTAAACATATTTTTTGAAAAATTATACAAGCATAAGACATTGTTAAATTCAGTCACTTCACAAAAACATGTAAAGTTGGACTCCAAATGCCAGAGGATCCATGGAATCTAACTGTTCTGCCTCTTCTCCCCTACATGAAGCTTCCTCAAGGGCAAGCATCTTGTCCTATTCATCTTTGCGTCACTGGGCCCAAGCACATAGTAGATAATCAACAAATCTTTATTGAATAGATGGGTTGTGGAAACTGACAGCCACAGATTAAACGCAGAAGAAGGCACTAGTGCACATGATCGGGACTGCTCACTTTATTTAACAAGAATCACCATAGTGATGAGAGATGTGTGAGGGAAACGGCACTGCGGTTGCCAACAGCAGCAGGCTGGGGCCAACGGGCTCCCGGAGGCAAAGCCTGGACCATTTCTGAATGAGGGGCTCATCATCGCCTAGAACTTTATGCTTTGTGTGTGTGGGGGGGGGTTCTTTTTGTAAAATTGTATTCATTTTAACAGCAAATGTTGAAAATGTTTCAATATGCATTCTCCCCTAAAATGTGTAGTTATAAGATAAGAGACTTGGTTTTCTTGCCATTTTTCCTTTGCTGATTAAAAAGAAGAAAAAATAAAAAAAAAAACAGGAAATGAAATCTGGTTTATATATAATTTGTCACACATGTAAGATATCCAACTTTGTAAGCACTCCAAGTTTTCATTAACTCTGCTAAAATATATTTACATTAAGAAATTTCCCAGCCCTAATGTCATTAGTTTCAAACTTCCAAACTCAGTTGTTTTGCTAAAAACGCAGATCAGGGCCAGATGGAGGAACAAGCACCCCTGATTGACCTCCCTCCGAACCAAAATCCCATAAATGACAGAAATATCTTCCTTAATTAGAAGTAGCACAAAAGGGAAAGAAAGGGGAAGGAAATGCATCATGTTCTGGGAATAAATCAGCAAGGTCACCAGCATCGCACAGCATTTGCCCCCAGTTGATATAGAAAGTGCGAATACTTGGTCCAGAGAAGAAAGACAGTCTCCCCAGGAATCACTGACTCCCTGTCCCTGAGAAGGACAGGGAACTCATGGCCAGGTGTGGTGGCTCACGCCTGTAATCCCAGCACTTTGGGAGGCCGAGGTGGGTGGATCATGAGGTCAGGAGATCAAGATCATCCTGGCTAACACAGTGAAACCCTGTGTTTACTAAAACAATACAAAAAAAATTAGCCGGGCATGGTGGCGGGTGCCTGTAGCCCCAGCTACTCGGGAGGCTGAGGCAAGAGAATGGCGTGAACCCAGGAGGCAGAGCTTGCAGTGAGCCGAGATTGCACCACTGCACTCCAGCCTGGGCAACAGAGAGAGACTCCGTCTCAAAATAAATTAATTAAATAAAGCGGGAGGCTGAGACAGTCACTTGAGGCTAGGAGTTCAAGACCAGCCTGGCCAACATGGCAAAACCCCTTATCTACTAAAAATACAAGAATTAGCCTGGCATGGTGGCGCACCTGTAATCCCAGCTACTTGGGAGGCTGAGGCAGGAGAATCACTTGAAGCCAGGAGGCGGAGGTTGCAGTGATCTGAGATCACCCCACTGCACTCTAGCTTGGATGACAAAGCAAGACTCCATCTCAAAAAAAAAAAAAAAGTAAAGTGGAATTTTAGAAATCTAGGCACATTGCAGCAAAATTTTGGAATACCAAGGAAAAAAGGAAAATCCTCATAGTTTTCTGACCGAGAGAATAGGTTGTCACAATAGAATGAAAGTCAGCTTGACATCAAGACTTATCATCAATCCCGAATCCTAAAAGATAGTAGAGCAATTTCTCTAACATTCCAAAGAAAAAACTATTCGTAATCTAGGATCCAAGACCCAGCCAATCTAGCCTTAAATTGGGGGTGCAAAATAAAGACATTTTCATGCATATATGGGTTCATCCCACCTATAAACTCCCCCCAAAGAATCTAAGAAAATAAAAGAGATCAACTACAGTAAGTGCTGGAGGGAGAAATAAAGACAGAGATGATGCACTAAACTGGTCTTAAAAATATGAAACTAAAGTCTCCAATGAGCTCAGTGTGGTAGGGAATTGGTCCCAGGCGGGCAGGAGCAGCGGCGAGAGAACGGCGATTAAATTCACATTCCCAGTGCGGGCAGGACTGTCCCAAAGCAAGAACAGAGCTTTCTGCAAATGATCCGGTCAGACCTGTCTCACTTCTGAAAACAACCTCATTGGGATTTCTAATAAACTGGACTGATTCACTAAATAATTGGACTAGCAAACCAAACCAGTTTTACCTTTTTTTTTTTTTTTTGAGACAGAATCTCGCTCTGTCGCCCAGGCTGGAGTGTAGTGGCATGATCTCAGCTCACTGCAAGCTCCGCCTCCCGGGTTCACGCCATTCTCCTGCCTCAGCCTCCCGAGTAGCTGGGTCTACAGGTGCCCGCCACCACGCCTGGCTAATTTTTTGTATTTTTAGTAGAGACAGGGCTTCACCGTGTTAGCCAGGATGGTCTCCATCTCCTGACCTTGTGATCTGCCCACCTCGGCCTCCCAAAGTGCTGGAATTACAGGCGTCAGCCACAAAGCTCTTTCTCTTAACTTACATTGTCAGGAAACTGGTAACATAGATTGAATGACCCGCCCCAGTTTTTCACCCACACTCACACCCTCGCCATAGCCTCCCTTTCCCACCCCTTGACTTTGGGCTTGGCCAAAGGGATGCCAGCAGGCATGACACAGCAAAACTGGAAATGTGTTTGTGGGGTTAGATGTGCCGTCTCTCAGGGCCCTGCCATCAGCCAGAGACGAAACTGCCCCTGCTGGTCCCAGGAAGAGGATGAGAGGCATGTGGAGCAGAGCTGCCCAGCCAACCCACAAACTCATGAGTAAGAAATAAATGATTATTACTGTTTGCCACTGAGATGTGGGGATGGTTTGTTACACAGCATAAGTGTGACAATAGCTAACTGATACTCAGAGGGCAAGTGCCACTGCAGCAAACATGAGGAGGAATTCCTGAGCCTTTATATTAAAGTGGCTGCTCTCACTAGAGACACGATTGGACTCTGGCTGGTGCGATGACTCACACCTGCAGTCCCAACACTTGGGAGGCCAAGAGCAGAGGATTGCTTGAGCCCAGGAGTTTGAAAGCAGGCTGGGCAATGGATCAAGACTCCATCTCTACAACAACAACAACAAAAACACAGTGTTTTGAACTGAAGGAGCCATACAAAGGATGTCATACAGATTTATTAAATTCAAAACCAGGCTGGGCACGGTGGCTCACACCTGTAATCCCAGCACTTTGGGAGGCAGAGGTGGGCGGATTACCCGAGGTCAGAAGTTCAAGACCAGCCTGGTCAACATGGTGAAACCCCGTCTCTACTAAAAATACAAAAATTAGTCAGGCGTGGTGGTGCACGCCTCTAATCCCAGCTACTTGGGAGGCTGAGGCAGGAGAATTGATTGAACCTAGGAGGTGGAAGTTGCAGTGAGTCAGGATTGCGCCACTGCACTCGAGCCTGGGCGACAAGAGCGAAAGTCAGTTAAAAAAAAATCCAGAAAAACTACTTTTCTGGAATGCAAATCAGAATAGTGGCTGCTTGGGGATTAGGGGACAAGGGAAGTTGAGTAGACTGTAAAGGGATTGGGGGGAATTTTCTACAATGGTGGCAATGTTTTCTGCCTTGATTGGGGTGTTGGCTACAGATAGATATTTGTAAAAAGCCATTGAATTATATATTTAAGATCTGTGTGTTTTACTAAACTATTCCTCAATTTTTCAATTAGCAATAATCACGCCTCGGATAAACCTCATTGGCTATGATACTGCCACTGCACAAAGCTATTCCTCAATTTTTAAAAACATGTCTGTATGGAGTGGATACCCAGACCAGGGTGAGGCTGAGGTGCAAACAGGCCTACCTGAGGTGCCGGGCAGCCTTCCAAGACTCCAAGACTAGGTGGGCTCTGGGCAGACAAAGCCTCCCTCTCACAAAAGGTCTGGGAACCCTTTTCAGGGGGCTCAGAGTCCGGCCACATCTCTAGGTTTTCTGACGTCCTAGACACACCATGAGAAAGAACTTTGACTGGGCTCTCAATCTGGTTGGTGACCTAGGATATGGGGCTCATACCCAGGACCAAGAACCCAGGGCTTCTATCCAGAGCCTAGGACTTGGGGCTTATACCCACGGCCTAAAACCTGGGGCATATACCCAGGGCCTAGGACACAGGTTTATGCCCAGGGCCTAGGACACAAGGCTAATACCTAGAAAGAACACAGAACTTACACCCAGGGCCTGGAACTCGGGGCTTATAACCAGGGCCTAGGACATGGGGCTTATACCCAGAGACTAGGACACAAGGCTTATAACCAGAAAGGACACAGAACTTATATTCAGGGCCTAGAACCCGGGGCTTATACCCAGGGATTAGGACATGGGGCTTATACCCAGAGCCTAGGACACAAGGCTTATACCCAGAAAGGACGTGGGGCTTATACTCAGAGCCTAGGACACAAGGTTTATACCCAGAGCCTAGGACATGGGGCTTATACTCAAAGCCTAGGACATGGGGCTTATACCCAGAGCCTAGGAAACACAAGGCTTATATGCAGAAAGGACACAGGGCTTATACCCGGAGCCTAGGACATGGGGTTTAACCCAAGGTCTAGGACACAAGATTTATACCCAGAGCCTAGGACAAGGGGCTGAGAACCAGAGAATAGGACACAAGGCTTATACCCAGAACCTAGGACAGAAGGTTTATACCCAGAGCCTAGGACACAAGGCTTGTATCCAGAGCCTAGGACCCGGGGCTTCTACCCAGAGCCTAGGACCCAGGCCTTACACCTAGAGCCTAGGAGGCGGGGCTTACACCCAGAGCCTAGAACCCGGGGCTTATACCCAGAGTCTAGGACCCTAGGCTTATACCCAGGGCCTAGGAAGCAAGGCTTATACCCAGAGCCTAGGACACAAGGTTTATATGCAGAACCTAGGACCCGGGGCTTATACCCAGAACCTAGGACACAAGGCTTATACCCAGAGGCTAGGACGCGGGGCTCATATTCAGAGCGTAGGACACAGAGCCTGTATTCAGAACACACTAACCTGGAAACAGATGCTCTGAAACACAACTAGGAGAAAACCTGGCAAATGTCAGTCGTGATTGTCTCTTGTCCCCATGCAATAGGATTACAAGTGTTTTCCTTTTCTTTGTTCTTGTTGGTTCCTTATAAATTTAAAATAAATGATTAACCTCAAAAGTATTTGTGGACATGTGATTACATATAGAAGAGTGATTGTTAAATATTCTTTCTCAGGATAGCTTTATACTCTGAAAATCTCCTGTGGACCCTAAGGAACTTTACGTGAATTGCATCTATCAATTTTACTGTAATACAGATTAAATTTGAGGAGGTTTTGAAATATTTACTTATTTTAAAATAGTAATGATTCCACAGTGTCTACATATTTCAAAACATCATGTTGTACACGTTAAATAATTTCATTTTCAATTAAAAATAAGCTTTAAAAAGAATTCAAATTGCTCAATTTTTTAAATTAAAAACAACAAACCCATTGTTGTATGTTAACAATAAATAATTTTGTATGGAAAGCAACAATATCTTCTGCAAAATTAGTGAGTTGCATTGCCGCTGGCAAATCTCTAGGTAGATGTCTGAGCTGATTCTCAGATCTGCTTTTGCCTTCAATCTGTTACAATGTCACACATCACAGCATCTCTGGAAAATTCCACTGTATACTCATGGGAGAATAAGAATGAAAAAAGGCAAATCACATCTTACCATTATTATGAAAATAGTTTTGGCTACACTTTGAGAACTACTAATATAGAGTATAATCACAACTGTATAAAAATAGGCAAATAAAATTTCTGAGTAAAAGTGTCATGGTGCCACCTCGTGTCATCTTTAATTATTGCAATGCCTGCTTACCGAACTTGTCTGTGCACACGTATCAGGTTGGTGCAAAAGTAATCACGGTTTTTGTCTGGGCATGGTGGCTCACGCCTGTAATCCCAGCACTTTGGGAAGCCGAGGTGTGCAGATCACCTGAGGTCAGGAGTTCAAGACCAGCCTGGCCAACATGGTGAAACCCCGTCTCTACTAAAAATACAAAAATTAGCCAGGAGTGGTGGCGCACACCTGTAATCCCAGCTACTGGGGAGGCTGAGGCAGGAGAATCACTTGAACCCCAGAGGCAGAGGCTGCGGTGAGCTGAGATCACCCCATTGCACTCCAGCCTGGGCGACAGAGTAAGACTGTGTCTCAAAAAAAAAAAGTAATCGCAGTTTTTGCTATTGAAAGTAATGGCAAAAGCTGCGATTACTTTTGCACCAACCTAATAGTATATGGGGTGTGTGTGCATAATATGGTTTGTGCATGCAGGCTGCGGACATGTGTGGAAGTATGTGTATCAGTGGTGTGTGTGCAAGTATGTGTGAATATGGTGTGTGCATGTAGTGTGGTGTAAATGTGTGTGCACGCAGTGTCTACATATGGCTTGTATGTGCCTGTATTGCGTGTGTTGTGGATGTGCATGCATGCAGTATGTGGCATATGTGTGTGTTCCTGTGGGCCATGTGTGCATGTGATGTGTACCTATGATGTGTATGTGTACACATGATGCACGTGTGTTTGTTGGTGATGCGGGTCATATATGTGCATGTGGTACATGTGTATCATGTGAATGTGGGGCCTTGTGTAGTGTGGTAGGTGGTATACGTGTGTATGTGTTACAGTCTGTGTTGTGTGTGCGTGCAGTGTGTGTTGCTGCGGTGCGTGTGCGTGTGCCTGTGCCTGTGTTACGTGTGGCATGTGTTGTAGGTCTGTTTGTGTGTGGGGGAGGTGGTGTGTGTTTAGGACTCACACATGGAAGAATGGAAGTAATATTTCACCCCCATCTGCATGCATGCCTGCTCTGTGCTTCCCTTAACATTCAGAAAACATATTTTAAGCTGCCCAGAAAGTATCAGGCAGGCCTGAGTCCCAAGAGACTTCCATTCATTCCTCTCCGACTTCATCCTGTCAGCCTCCTGAGCTAGGCATTGCCTCCTTTTCACAGACTGAGAGGCACAGTTGCTTGCTTCAACTAACAAGTAGTGGATCCAGGATTCAGACGTGGGTCTTCTGACCAAGGAGGAATTCAATCATCTTGTACTAATGTTATAAAAATTAGCAATAAATGTGAATGTAACATAACATGAATGTTATAAAAATCGTTTATATGGTAGGATCAAAAATGTGTAAAAAGGCAAACAGACTTCTGAATAAAAATAATAGGACAGCATCAGCGGGGCACCATCTCCGCTCCCTGACTGTTTCCATCTTGTGTTTGTGTGCATTCAGACCACGCACAGTTAGGAAGGCATTCACTAGTAATCAGCAGGACACCCTCTCCACTCCCTGACTGTTTCCATCGTGTGTTCGTGTGCATTCAGGCCATGTACACAGTTAGGAAGGCATTCACTAGTAATCACTGGGCACTGACTTTATGCCAAGTGCTGTGCAAGGTGCTTTCACATTCAAGTATAAAGGCGGCAAACACAAATTATCCGGCTCAAACATCACATGTGCAAAATGTAACTCATTATTTTTCATAACACAGTTTTAATTTCTGATTCCAATTTCTGAAAATGTAATCCAGTCCCTCTCAGAAAATTTCAGCCCCCAGCCCCATGTACGGTCACTCAGATCCTGCAGGTGGATTTAGACCAACCTGTCCTTCTCTCCCTTTCCTCAGAGTGGTGCCCTGGCATCAGGGAGAACGATGACTGGCCCCTGGCTCCCTAGCATCTGCCTGAGTAGCACATGATGGGCTGGCATCTGTGCCCACCAGCATCCACGGAAGTCCTCCGCAGGGATGGACTGTGCTTGGAGCCTGGGGCCCGGAGTCTGGGAAGGAGGAGGAGGAGGATGCTGATTCCAGAAAGACTTTGCCAAGCTCGCCTCCATCCTGGTCCCTTCCTCTCCCGCCAGCTAGGAGGGGGAAGCACTCGAGGTGCATGCTTTTGTGGCAGCTACACGTGCCCCTGGGGTTTATCAGTCCTCGCTCAAGAAACCCAGGGACACGTAGCTGCTCTCCCTCCCACCCCCTCTCCTCTAGCTCCTGGGTGCTGGGACCCTGCAGCCAGCAGACTTTCCTTCTCAGATGGACACTGCCTCACACGACCCAGCCTGGGGGCCCTCTCCTGGCCTGTGGACCTTATCTCCCAGCTCCCACCAACCTGCATTCTTCCCCACTCTTTTTTTATGTAGAAAAATGTTGAGACAGAGTCCTTCAGGATGTGTCTCTTGATGGCCAAAGCAAATCAAACACATCTTGATTTTCAAACTGGTATCTCCTCTGCTGTGAGCTCTTCAAATCCATTCGGAAACTCAGTTGGCTGCTGCTTCTTTCTGGCTGTGAGGTCTCATGGTCCACCTTTCCCTGGGCCAGGACAGAGCCTTGAAAAAGCCCACGGGGACCACAGTGAAAGTAAGAGCAGTAACTGACATGCAGGGAGATTGCTGGGGCTCAGTCCGACCCCAGGCACACCCGCAGAGCGCCCTGAGAAAAAGGCACGGGGCTTCTCCATAGGACAGCTCAGTGGCAAGGGCCTTGTTGGCCGACTCACCTGCCATTGCTTACCTGCCACTGCCTTCCCCGAGAGAGGGACTTGCCTCCTGCCTCATGCAGGCTGCCAAGAGCCTAGATCCTGACCAGCTCAGTCTGGAGGGGCCTCACCCCCAACAGAAGCAGGAAAAGCCAGGCCACCGAGAATAGAGGCCGGGTCTCAACAGAATCCCCTGGGGAGCTGGAACATATGCAGTCCTGGGCTCCACCTCAGAGATTTGAGTCAGGAGGTCTGGGGCAGGGCCTAAGAATCTGCATTTCCAACAGGCACCCAGGGGATGCCAGAATGCCATGGGTCCAAGACTACACTGAGCAGCACTGATGGGAAGGACATAGTAGCTTGAGCGGCAGGGACCCAAGCTAAGCATCAGAGCGGGGTTGGCCAGTGAAGAAACAAGACAGAATCAGAAAAAAAAAAACTGTAATGAGAAGAACCCTTAAAGAGATTGGTTTTTTCATATTGTTTCTTTGCAATATCTTCTTGACTCTCCTTAAGAGTTCTCGCTACAGTCATTTTTATTATAATTTTTATTTATTTTATATTATTGTATGTTATTTATTTTAAAAGACAGGATCTTACCCTGTTGCCCAGGCTAGAGTGCAGTGGCACGATCACAGCTCACCATAACCTCTAAGTCATGGGCTCAAGTGATCCTCCCATCTCAGCTTCCTGAATAGCTGGGACCACAGGCATGCGCCACCATGCCTGGTTAATTTTTTAGTGTTTTGTACAGATGGGGTTTAACTGTGTTGTCCAGGCTGGTCTCAAACTCCTGGCCTCAAGCAATGCTTCTCCCTCAGCCTCCCAAGGAGCTACAGGTCAGGCCAGGCTCCGCCCACGTGCAGGGCTCGTGGGGCCTCAGTTTCCCTCTTGGGCATCCCAGGTAGGCAGATCCAGAAGGCCTGGGCTAGGCCACTGCAGGGCAGTGCTGGGGGTGGGGATCTCTCCTGGCCTCCTGTCCCAGCTCCCTCTCCTCTTGAAACCCGGTGAAGTCCGTGCTCTTGTGCGTGTCTGCTGTTTACATTTCTCCCATGGATGTATTTGCCTTCGTTTGCATAAAAAATGCCACAGTCCTAATGAGTTTGCCCATCTGGCAGTGCAGGCCTCCTCTCTGGGCTCGGCTCCACTGAGAGCCTCGAGGGAGCCGTTATAATTGGGCCGCTCCCTTCCAGGATCGGGAAGGACTGTCCCGAGCAGGCTCATGGCTCACGACCTGGCCCAGGGCTCCACGGCAGGCTGGAGCGGGCTCCCTGAACTGTGGGTGTCGTGCCTGTGTGTCCATCAGCAGGGGCATCTGGGCCCACCCTGCCTTGGCCACCACCAAGGTAGGCATTTCACTGTACATTTCAAAATCAAATTGGGGCAGCCTCATGGCACCCCGTGGAACTTGTCCCAGGCTGGAAGGATTTGAATCCTGGAATATGGTGACACAGAACGTGTCCTTTGGAAACTCAGCTGTGGGCAGCGCCTGGCTGGGCTGTGTCAGACAGTGTGTCTTAGCCTCTCAGTGTCACTCTGACGACCCCACACTAAGCCCTCTCCCACCTGATGCTTCCAACCATGACATTTATCGCCCCCTCCCCTGGGCCAAGCAGGCTTGATCCTGGCCTCGGGAGACAGGGGTGAAGGGTTCAAGCCTTGTGGCATGGGAACCTTAGGACACAGGCGCTACCGTGCACTGACATGATTGCTAGAAGAGGGGATGGAGGTGTCCAGGGAATCTGGCGGAAGAGGGTCCTGTGCAGTCTAGCATCAGGCTGTGTCCTCTACGTCTCCATGATTGTGTGGAGAGCCCCAGGCAACCTCTGACTAGAGGCAGTTTCCAGAAAATGGTGATGGAGCCCCCTAACCATCCCGGGAGAGTGGGTGCATGCTGGGGGATGTGGAAAAGCCTAACAGTGGCTTGAAAGCATGGCAGCAGGGCAGGCACAGTGGCTCACACCTGTAATCTCAACACTTTGGGAGGCTGAGGCAGGTGGATGACTTGAGGTCAGGAGTTCGACACCAGCCTGGCCAACAAGGTGAAATCCCGTCTCTACTCAAAATACAAAAATTAGCCAGATGTAGTGGCATGTGCCTGTAATCCCAGCTACTCAGGAGGCTGAGGCAGGAGAATTGCTTGAACCCAGGAGGCGGAGGTTGCAGCGAGCCGGGATCACTCCACTTTACTCCAGGCTGGGCAACAAAGTAAGACTCTGTCACACACACCACACAAAGAAAAACAGTGGCAGCTGGCGGCACCTGGGATGCATTTTCCCTCCTTTTTGCTTTGCTACAGGAAAGTGAAGGAGAAACAGACACTGAAAGGGACAGTGTGTTAAATTCTCAGCTCACAGCTGCATGGCTGTGTAGTTACAGAGACTAAAACTGGCATGGATGTGCCCAGTGCCTTGAGGCCACAGGGATGGACCGTGCCTGGAGCCCAGGGCCTGGAGTCTGGGAGGGAGGAGGAGGCGGATGCTGATACCAGAAAGACAGCGAGGCCGAGCGCAGTGACTCACGCCTGTAATCCCAGCACTTTGGGAGACCAAGGCGGGTGGACGAGGTCAGGAGATGGAGACCATCCTGGCTAACACAGTGAAACCCCGTCTCTACTAAAAATACAAAAAATTAGCCAGGCTTGGTGGTGGGCGCCTGTAGTCCTAGCTACTAGGGAGGCTGAGGCAGGAGAATGGCGTGATCCTGGGAGGCGGAGCTTGCAGAGAGCCAAGATGGTGCCACTGCACTCCAGCCTGGGCGACAGAGCGAGACTTCCTCTCAAAAAAAAAAAAAAAAAAGAAAGAAAGACAGCGAGGGGCAGGGAGGTGGTTGAGGAGCGCTAAGGAGTTCCTTTGCGGTCGGACGTGGTGACTCACGCCTGTAATCCCAGCACTTTGAGAGGCCGAGGCGGGCAGATCACAAAGTCAGGAGTTTGAGACCAGCCTGACCAAAATGGTGAAACCCCATCTCTACTAAAAATACAAAAATTAGCCAGGCGTGGTGGCACGTGCCTGTAGTCCCAGGTACTCGGGAGGCTGAGGCAGAAGAATCGCTTGAACCCAGGAGACAGAGGTTGCAGTGAGCCGAGATCGCACCATTGCACTAGAGCCTGGGCGACCGAGCGAGACTGTCTCAAACAAACAACAACAAAAAGAGTTTCTTTGCATTATTTCTTCAGATTGGATTCTCTATTTGCATTTTAAAAAGAGGAGGTAGAATACGGCAGAGCACATACAGGACACCGATATGGAAGGCATCAGTCCTCGTGTGGCTCCTGGATTAACCACGCTTTCTGGTTTCTGTGTTCTATGGCGCTTTGGCATCGCAGGAGGCTTTGCTGGCGGGGAAGGGACTGCCCCTCCCAGGGCTGGCTAGTTCTGGAGACAGCACATACCTCCCTATGCAAACCAGCAGTCAGAAGCCCCTGCCCCCACCACACCCTTTATCTAACTCACACACCCAGGAAATATTCTCCCTGCCCCATCTCACTCCAGAGCATGGTACTGGATGACTAGGGACCATGCCATAGCTCCGGGCCTGCCAACATTAGGCAAACGGGGCCACCCGAAGCTTGCTCAAGCTCACCTCCACCCTCATCTATTCCTTCCCACAGAGACCCCAGTGAAGGCCCAGCCTGGGCCCTCCCCTTGCTCCTTCTGCCTCGGGACTGACCTGGTGCTTCCCCATGCTGGAAAGTCATCAACTCTTCATTCAAAGGCAGTGTCTCCCAGGCTGTCATCTGACCAGAGCTGAGGAAAACAAAGTCCCAGGTGCATTTCAAGACAGCCCCTCCTCTGCCTTCCTGGTCTGTACGCTCCTCTGCCCTAGGAGGTAACCATTGTTCTCATTTCCACATAACAGTTTTGCCTACTCTTGTCCTTTATATAAAAGGAATCTTTCGGTACATCCCCTTTTGTGTCTGGCCTCTTTTACCCAGCGTGAGCGTCACCACGCTGCTGAGATTGTTCTCTGCTGTGTGTGTGTAGTTCTCCTTCAGATGCACAGGCCACAGTTCACTTACTCATTTACTGATGAGTGTTTGGGGTTTTGACTATTAGGAATAAAGTTATGATGAACATTCTTCAATGTGTTCGTTATCGGAGAGAAGTGAAACCGGCCCAATTGCCCCATAGAACTGATGTTTATGGTTTCTTTGAATAAACATAGAAATGATCCTTCCAGTCTCACAAGATAAGATCCTTCTTGTCTTATCTGAGTTCCTTTCCCAAGAAACCACCTATCAGGCCTCCCAGATAGAATAAAAAAAAAAACTCCCAAGACCCCCACACCCTCCAGCCTGGGAATTGCCTAACCCACCACCTGCTTCCTGGTGACCGACTCTTCCTCGCCCCTCCCTGATTCCTGTTTTCACACACATGGTTACATTTCTTCTCTGCTACATAAACCCCTGATTTTCGTGGGTCAGGGGATGGGCTGAGACTGATCTCCCATCTCCTGGGCTGCAGCACGGGATTAAAGCTTCTTCTCTGGCAATGCTCCTTGTCTCAGTGACTGGCTTTTTGTGTGGCGAGCAGCAGCACCTAGACAAACCCCTGGTGTTTCTGTAACATACACACTCATTTCTCTTCAATATAGAACAAGAGAGAAACATGTGGGTCAAAGGACCCGCATATGTTAGGGAAGAGGAGGGATTTCCAGACATTTCTGTGCAGTGGTGGTACCAATTAATATGCTCACCAACCGTGCACGGGGGTCCTAACTGCCCCACATCTACACCCACACGGGGTACAGCCAGCCTTTAATTTCAGCCATTCTGCTGGAGCACTGCAGTATCTCAGCGTGGTTTTCATTTGAGTTTCCCCGATGAAGAATGAGGTTGAGCCCCTTTTCATACATGTATCTGCCACTTGCTATCTTCTTTTGGGAAGGCTCCCATAAGTTATTTTTGAAATTGGGTTGTCAGTCAATTTCATATTGTGAGTCTGTCACTACTGTTTGTGCATGAAGAATTGAGTAGGTAACCTGCTTGTGGCCGGCCGAGGTGAGCTCTCCTTGGGTGGCTGTGCCTGTGGGAAAGACCCCGGGGGGGTGTTCTGGAGCCCAAGCACCACATCCCCCCAGACGGGGCCTGTCCCGATCTCACACTCAGCTCACCTCTCCCTCCCTGTGCCGATTTCTCACAGCGTTTTACAGTTCGTTGTCATTAGACTCTTTTGAAGTAAATTGCAAGGGTCTGATGAGTCATAACTGTGTGTGCCTCGTGTTCCTGCGTCTTGAGCCCAGCGGTAGGTCTCCCTCCATCCAGGCGGCACAGTTAGGGAGCACTCACAGGGACCAGCGCTGTCCTAGGTGCCAGGTGACCTCACGCAGGCAGCTGCATTCTAGTGGGGATGGCACTGGCAGGGACAGCAGATAGAAAATAAACAGGAACAGGAATCCAGTAATTTCTGGAAATTATACACAGAAGGAAATAAAGCAGGGTGAGGGTGTACAGTGTGTGTGTGTGTGTGTGTGTGTGTGTGTGTGTGTGGTTATCATGGGACAGGGAGTTAGGGAAGGGCTCTGTGAGAAGGTGGTTTTCAGTAGCTGCCTGAATGCAGTGGAGGGGGAAGTTCTTCTGGGGAAAGAACCATCCAGACAGAAGGAGACAGCATATGCCAAGGCCCCAAGGCAGAAGCCTGCTTCCTATGAGTGCAGCAAGAAACCCAGAGAGACAGAGAGGTGGAAGTGAGGGGAGAGCTGCAGGAGGCGAGGGGAGAGCTGCGGCCTGGTCGGTTACTTATGCACCTTAAGTCTCAGTTTCCTCCTCTATAAAATAGCGCGGGTCATCATGATTCCTACCTTGTGAGGTTGCCAAGTGGATTACGTGAAGCCGTGGTGTGTAGACCCCCCGGTACCTGCAAGTTCTCAGGAAAGGGAAGCTGTGATTATCAGGCCCTTCTTTCTCTCTGCTCCCAGGGCACCTTGTAACCCCACATCAGCTCATGTTGTAATGATGTATGTGTCTGGCTCTCCCTCGAGACCAGAGGCTGCACACTGGCACCCATAGCCTGAACCCAGCCTGGGGGTCTTCTGTTTAGCCTCACAGATTTGTTTTGTTAAGATAAATAGCTGCCGGCCAGGCGCGGTGGCTCACGCCTGTAATCCCAGTACTTTGGGAGGCCGAGATGGGCGGATCACGAGGTCAGGAGATCGAGACCATCCCGGCTAACACAGTGAAACCCCGTCTCTACTAAAAATACAAAAAAATTAGCAGGGCGTGGTGGCGGGCGCCTGTAGTCCCAGCTACCCGGGAGGCTGAGGCAGGAGAATGGTGTGAACCCGGGAGGCGGAGCTTGCAGTGAGCCGAGATTGTGCCACTGCACTCCAGCCTGGGCGACGGAGCGAGACTCCGACTCAAAGGAAAAAAAAAGACAATTAGTTGCCAACTTTCAACATTTCAGAAATTTTATATAAAAATCTGGGTTTCTGGCTTTCTTGGAAATTACAAGATCTGGCCGCTCTGGGTCCGAATGTCCACTTGGCCACGGCTGGCCGGAGGGAGCAGCGGCTGCGCACAAATTCACACCTGTGTCCTCCGCTCTGCCCGGGCCCCACCCAGCCGCTCCTCCCATCTCTCTGCCTCTTGGTCCCCGAAGGCACCTGTGGGTTTGAACATGCTGAAGACCCTGAAGTCCTTGAAGACAAACAAGTATTTTGTTCTGTTGTCTGTGTCCCTGGAAGATCCTTTCCTGGAGTTCACGGGGCCTGGGGCAAGGGTGCAATCAGAAGCCCGCGTCTCCAAAGTGAACATCAGTCGCTCCTCCCTTGTGGTCTGCAGGACCCGAGGGCTCCCACGACTTATTCAGAGGTCTGTGAAGTAAAAGTATTTTCATGTGACTGTTAAGACATTATTTGCCCTTTTCATCATGTTGACATTTAGTGTAAAAGGTACAAAATGACCGTGGGTAAAACTAATTCAGATCAAGGCAGTGGATCCCCGATGTGCCAGCTCTGTGTTCCTTACTGCTCTACACTCCCAATGTCAAGAAAAGTTGCTTTTGAGAGGCCGAGGCAGGTGGATCAGCTGAGGTCAGGAGTTCGAGACCATCCTGGCCAACATGGTGAAACCCCGTCTCTACTAAAAATACAACAATTAGCTGGGTGTGGTGGCGCTAACCTGTAGTCCCAGCTACTCGGGAGGCTGAGGCAGAAGAATCGCTTGAACCCAGGAGGCGGAGGTTGCAGTGAGCCGAGATCATACCACTGCACTCCAGCCTGGGCCACAGAATGAGACTCCATCTCAAAAAAAAAAAAAAAAAAGTACACACATAAATAAATACATAAAAATAAATGTGCTTTTTTGATGTTGTGCAAAGAAATGTGTCAACATTTGGAGGATCCACATAACTCAGTGAACCAATATTTTCCAGATGACCAACGCTTCATGCTTCCGTTAGGAAAAGATCATCCTCTGTGGATCTCTCACGCTCCCACAGGTCTTTCTGGGTGTGCCAAGAATGCAAAGCTTGGGCACTCTTTTCATCCAAACTGTTTCTAAGATTTATATTTGTAGTGAGCAGCCTTGAGGAATGAGCTACTGTCTCCCTCCGGGACAAACAGCAGGCTTGCTTACTGCATGCTACAAAAGCGATGGGCCTCCAAGCTCAGTGCTCCTCAGCTGCAACGCAAACCCACTGTGCGTGTAGCATCTATCTCAGCTCCTCTGCATCACCTCTGCAGGACTTGGGGGACAGAGGGAACAAGTGCAAAACGGGCTGCTGCCCGCTCTGCTTGCTGTGTGAGCATGCTGTGAATAATAAAGTCCTTTGTCTCTGACACAGGAATCTCAACTCTTTTGCCAGCATCCATGCAACAGTAACAAGTTAATGATTAGTTTGTAGTGGAGTAAGATGAAATCCCAGTCCTGACGGTTCCATGCCCGTGCAAACATGCATGGGCAAAAGATCCACTCAAAGTCCAAGAAAAATGAATGAATTTTGACGGAGCAGAGAGCAAAAGTTTATCACTCTGGATTCAAATTTCACTTTGCATCTAGCAGGGTGGGTATTAGGTTGAAGGGAACGAAGCGCTGGGTCAGCAGCTGCACACCCCTGAGAACCAGCGCCTCCCTGAGTTTGCACCCTGGGCCTCACTCTCCAAACCCTTCTCTGGCCCCAGCAGCTAATCCTTAGGAAACTGCTACTCGTTGAGTTCTGGAGTAGCATCAAATCAGAACACCCGCAGCTCTCTGAAAAAGATCTGAAACAGCTCTGAAACATGGCTCCCTTTTCTAGTTTCCTCTCTGCGGGAGTCTGGAATTTCTTCGTATGCTTCAGCCCGACAACACATCGCAACACGGACTGAAGGCCGAGCAGAGATGAGAACTCAGCTGTCTGCTCTTCATCCAGGCCGTGAAGAGATTTGCAAAGCTCTCCAACCACTCTTCTCACTACAGTTTTTTGGTTGTCTTGGAAAATAGAGTTAGTTTTCTTAAACACAAAACAAAAAGTGTGTTACTTGTATAACTGTATAATGGGCTTATTGTTATTTTTCTAAAACTTAATGAATAAATATTTTTAAAATGCCTCAGTTTAAAATTACAATATGGTAAACATTGATAGATGTAACCCACACGAACAAAAACTCTTTGGGGTTCTCAACAATCTTTTAGAATGCAAAGGGATCCTCAGCACAAAATGTTTGAGAACTGCTGGTCTAAATATTTATAAATCAACTTATAAATTAATGAACAAATTGGTAAATAAAATATGTTCTAGCTCCACCCTGGAGAAATCTGCTGTTAAAGTGACTTTATTCCCATTGAGAATTCTTGGCCGCCGCCGGGTTCTATGCTGGACTGCAGTGGGGAGGGCCCAGCACCCCGACCTCTGGTCAGCCCCGGCTCCAAGCAGCCCTGCCAACAGCTGTTTTATGCCCACCTCTCAGGCCTACTAGCTCTGTGGTCCACCCTCCAGGAGAGATCCATGCAAGAGGCCTGCGCTAGGCCCTGAAAGGGGCTTGGGGCTTTTGGGGCAGGGAACCGTGGGGCCTGGGGTACCCAGAGCATGTTCCAGGGGTTGTGGGAGAGGGCTCCAGGTGGGCACCTCCCCTTGGCCCTGAAGACACCGGATTCCATGAAAAGAGCCATGCTGGAGGAAAGCCTGAGAGGAAGGCGCAGGACTGCTCCCCTGGTGAGCCACCACCCTGTGTGAACAGACAGGAGAAAGACTCGCTGGCTGGACAGAGAATTTCAGGACAGCACTGCAGCCACTGCTCCCAATGCCTTCGTGGCCCTGGGCTGGCCGCTCCTCTTCCTGGTCTCCCCATGCTTCAGTGCAGGATGAGGGCTCAGCCTGGGGGTTCTCAGCATTGTCTTGAGGCTCATGTTCCTTCCAGGCGCATGGGGTTTCTGGGCTGCTTTGGAGACCCTGACACCCTTTACACTGTGTGGATTTCACTGGCTGGTTCGAGAAAAAGACAGTTTTTCTATTTCTTGGAAAATTGAACAGAAATATTTATGAAAATTTCTTTGTTAAATGATGTTGCTATTTATTCAGTATAGGCGGAAAGGCTACTGAATAGGAAAATATAGGGATTTCTCTCCTGTGTAAATCCCTCTCATACGCCTCAATTTAAGATATATACATATATATAGGCCGGGCGCAGTGGCTTACGCCTGTAATCCCAGCACTTTGGGAGGCCGAGGCAGGTGGATCGTGAGGTCAGGAGTTCAAGACCAGCCTGGCCAAGATGGTAGAACCACGTCTCTACTAAAAAAAAAAAAAAATTAGCCAGGCGTGGTGGCAGTCACCTGTAATCCCAGCTACTTGGGAGGCTGAGGCAGAGAATTGCTTGAACCTGAGAGGCGGAGGTTGCAGTGAGCCGAGATCTCACCATTGCACTCCAGCCTGGGTGACAGAGTGAGTCTCCATCTCAAAAAAAAAAGATATATACATATATACATAGACATATATATTATACATATATAAATATACGTGTTATATATACATATATATTAATCAGTAACATTTCACAGTAGATTTTAAACGGTACAAAAAACAGTACTTTTTTTTTTTTTTGAGACAGAGTCTCGCTCTGTCGCTCAGGCTGGAGTGTGGTGGCATGATCTCGGCTCACTGCAAGCTCCGCCTCCCAGATTCATGCCATTCTCCTGCCTTAGCCTCTCGAGTAGCTGGGACTACAGGTGCCCGCCACCACTCCTGGCTAATTTAATTTTTTTTTTTTTTTGTATTTTTAGTAGAAACGGGGTTTCACCATGTTAGCAAGGATGGTCTTGATCTCATGACCTCGTGATCCACCCACCTCGGCCTCCCAAAGTGCTGGGATTACAGACGTGAGCCACCGTGCCTAGCCATTTTTTTGTGTTTTTTTAGTGGAGACAGGGTTTCACTGTGTTAGCCAGGATAGTCTCGATCTCCTGACCTCGTGATCCGCCTGCCTCAGCCTCCCAAAGTGCTGGGATTACAGGCGTGAGCCACCACGCCCAGCCAAACAACAGTACTTTTTATAAAATAACCCCTAAGTGCAATTTTTTTGGGAGGGCGACCATCACTGTCACTGATTTTGCCAGGTTTTCCTAAGAATCTTACCTGGTCCATGTGGGATCTGAAGGCAATAATCCTGTCAGTGTTGTCTGGAAAAGTCTGTTACAGTTAAGAAATATTTTGCTAAGCCTGTTATGTAGAAATCACTGTAGGTGGCCCGGCACGGTGGCTCATGCCTGTAATCCCAGCACTTTGGGAGGCCGAGGTGGGTGGAGCACCTGAGGTCAGGAGTTCGAGACCAGCCTGGCCAACATGGTGAGACCCCCCATCCCTACTAAAAATACCAAAACTAGCCGGGCATGGTGGCAGGTGCCTGTAATCCCAGCTACTCAGGGGGCTGAGGCAGGAGTATCGCTTGAACCTAGGAGGCAGAGGTTGCAGTGAGCTGAGATCGCATCATCACACTCCAGCCTGGAGGACAAGAGCGAGACTTCGTCTCAAAAAAAAAAAAAAAAAGAAAAGAAAAGAAAAGAAATCACTAGGTAAAAACAAGGAAGTGAAATGCACAGTCCTACCTTAAAAAGCTTACTTTCTTCTGGCTGGGCACAGTGGCTCACCCCTGTAATCCCAGCACACGGGGAGGCCGAGGCGGGCAGATCCCCTGAGGTCAGGGATTCGAGACCAGCCTGGCCAACATGGCAAAACTCTGTCTCTAGTAAAAATACAAAAAATTAGCCAGGCGTGTTGGCAGGCACCTGCAGTCCCAGCTACTCAGGAGGCTGAGGCAGGAGAATGGGGTGAACCCGGGAGGCAGAGCTTGTAGTGAGCTGAGATCGCGCCACTGCACTCCAGCCCCGGCCACAGAGCGGACTCCTTCTCAAAAAAAAAAAAAAAAGAGTGCAGAAGCAGTTTGCTTGCAGTTTGCAGAAGCAGTTTGCAGAAGCAGTGTGCAGAAGCAGTGTGCAGAAGCAGTGTTCAGAAGCAGTTGTCCAGGGCTTGATTCCATGCTCCATATTCAAACTACTCAAGGATCAAAACATTAACTAGAGTTCAGCTATGTGAGTTCAAATGTTTCTAGCAGATGTTTCTGTGTTTATTTCTTAATGATAATGGAATTTTTATGTGGTGATATCTAGATGGAATTAAAAATAATAAGAAGCAATGAAGGGTAAATGCCTGTATAACTATGCATATATCTTTGCTGAACCCAACATATTTAAAAATATGATTGGATGAATTAATTGGATGAAATTTTGCTTTGGTGTGAGAGTTAAAACTTGTATCCTCTAGGCCGGGCGCGGTGGCTCATGCCTGTAATCCCAGCACTTTGGGAGGCCAAGGCGGGCAGATCACGAGGTCAGGAGATCGAGACCATCCTGGCCAACATGGTGAAGCCCCGTCTCTACTAAAAATACAAAAAAAAATTAGCCGGGCATGGTGGCGGGCACCTGTAGTTCCAGCTACTCAGGAGGCTGAGGCAGGAGAATGGCATGAACCCAGGAGGCGGAGCTTGCAGTGAGCAGCGATCACGCCACTGCACTCCAGCCTGGGCGATAGAGCGAGACTCTATCTCAAAAAAAAAAAAACAAAAACAAAAACAAAAAAACTTGTATCCTCTGAAAGAACCTCATGAAAATAGACTGTAAATCTACATTACTTGATAAGTAAGTAGAAAAGACTTCCTATGTCCTATGTCAATAGAAAATCATCTGCATTTATTTTGGTGTAGGTAAAGAACCATAACAAGACAAAATAAAGTTCTCATAAAGCTACAATGTTTTTGATAGGAGAAAGAAAGAAAGAAGCCAACGTAGACATAAAACTGCTGTACTCATTGGGAAAGATGAAGAAAAATACAGCAATCAGAACAGCAACTTTCACAAAGACAGTTTACAGCTCCATGTTAACATGAAGCATTCTTCAAAAACAAGTTGCTCCAGTTTCTTGTAGATTTTCCAGTGTCCTAATGCATGCTCTCTGGAGTTCTAAATTGCTTCTTAAACACTTCAAAACATACGTCTGGAAATCGCCGTTAGTGAAACAGAGGAAGTGCAACCGTTATGCAGTACCTAGAATCTACTTGATCACATGCACACACTCTAGACACATGTGTTTCAGAATATGATCATTGCATTTAGTTCTCAGAAGTCCACTGGTGTAATTTTCCCTATAACATTTGTTTCTGACATGTAAAAATTTAGATCCCAAGAGGCAGATTCCCAGAATAAATAAGGCTTAGCCAGTGATGTCCCCCACTGTGACAGTGTCAGCCCATTCTAACACAATGTTCGAATTACAAACACAAACACACGCAATGTGCAGAGCATCGCAGTGCTGGGTGCGCCAACATCCAAGACTCCAGGAATTACATAGTTTAGCAAACAACGTTTTTGCCTAAGACCCCGGGGTTCAAAATAATTTCTCCAGTCTGCTCTAGCCTATTTCATGTATGTATTCTGTTATAAATGAGAAACAAGACTTATTTTCTCCAGAATAATAGAACCATAGTGACACTGGAAGTAAGCCCAGATGATGATGATGATGATGATTACTATTATTAATTTCTTCTTCTTGTTGTTGTTGTTCTTCTTCTTCTTCTTTTTTCTTTTTCCTTTTCTTCTTTCTTTTTCTTCTTCTTTTCCTCCTCCTCCTTCTTCTCTTCCTCCTTCTTCTCTTCTTCTTTTTCTTCTTTTTTCTTCTTCCTCTTCCTCCTCCTCCTCCTTCTTCTTTCTTCCTCTTCCTCTTCTTCTCCCCTCTTCCTCTCCCTCTCCCTTTTTTTGAGATGAGGTCCCAATCTGTCACCCAGGCTGGACTGCAGTAGCAGATCAGCACTCACTGCAGCCTCGACCTCTTGGGCTCAACTGATCCTCCTGCCTCAGCCTCCTCAGTAGCTGAGACTATAGGCATGCACCACCATGCCCAGCTAATTTTTTTTTTGTATCTTTTGTAGAGATGGTGTTTCCCCATGTTGCCCAAGCTGGTCTTGAACTCCTGGGCTCAAGTGATCTGACCACCTTTGACTCCAAAAGTTCTAGAATTACAGGCATGAGCCACCGTGCCCAGCCTATCATTATTATTAATGATTATTTAAAAGACTAAGTTTTTGGTCGGGCGCGGTGGCTCACGCCTGTAATCCCAACACTTTGGGAGGCTGAGGCAGGCAGATAGATCATGAGGTCAGGAGATCGAGACCATCCTGGCTAACGCGGTGAAACCCCATCTCTACTAAAAGTACAAAAAATTAGCCAGGCTTGGTGGCAGGCGCCTGTGGTCCCAGCTACACAGGAGGCTGAGGCAGGAGAATGGCGTGAACCTGGGAGGTGGAGCTTGCAGTGAGCCAAGATCGCACCACTGCACTCCAGCCTGGGCGACAGAGTGAGACTCCGTCTCAAAAAAAAAAAAAAAAAAAAAAACTATGATTTTCCAGCATTCATATGAAATAATGTATTTTAACACACCGTTTTATATGTGTGTGTATGTGTGCATGCGCATATATGTATACACACACACACTAAGCAACAAGCTAGAATTCTTTTTTTTTTGAGACAGAGTCTCACTCTGTCACCCAGGCTGGAGTGCAGTTGCACGATCTCTGCTCACTGCAACCTCTGCCTCCCGGGTTCAAGCGATTCTCCTGCCTCAGCCTCCTGAGTAGCTGGGATTACAGGCACGTGTCCCCACACCTGGCTAATTTTTTTGTTTTTTTTCTGTTGAGATGGAGTCTCACTTTTGTTGCCCAGGCTGGAATGCAATGGCGCAATCTGAGCTCACTGCAACCTCCACCTTCCAGGTTCAAGTGATTTTCCTGCCTCAGCCTCCTGAGTAGCTTGGACTACAGGCTCCCACCACCACGCCCAGCTAATTTTTTTGTATTTTTAGTAGAGACAGGGTTTCACCGTGCTGGCCAGGCTGGTTTCAAACTCCTGACCTCAGGTGATCTGCCTGCCTCGGCCCCCCAAAGTGTTGGGATTACAGGCATAAGCCACCGCGCCTGGCCATTTTTTTTTGTATTTTTAGTAGAGATGGAGTTTCACCATGTAGGTCAGACTGGTCTCGAACTCCTGACCTCATGATCCGCCTGCCTCAGCCTCCCAAAGTGCTGAGATTACAGGCGTGAGCCACCGCACCCGGCTGAGTTGCTCCCACCTTTTATCTATTGTGAATAACACAGCTATCGACAGGGATGGGCAAGTGTCTCTTTATTTCCTTGCTTTCAATTTTTGGGGGATATATACCCAGAAGTGGAATTGCTGGAGCGTCCCTAGGTGTAATTTCCGAGGAACTGCCTTACTGTTTTCTAGAGGGGCGGCACTATTTTACATTCCCACCAGCAGTGCACAAGGGTTCCAGTCTCTCCACATCCTTACCAACATTCGTTATATTCTGGGTTTTCTTTGATACTAGTCAATGTAGTAGGAGTGAAAAGGAATCTCGTTGTCATTTCCATCTCCCTAATGATTAGTGATGCTGAGTATGGAGAAATGTCCATTCGAGTCCTTTGCTCTTTTTTTTTTTTTTTTTTTTTTTTGAGAGGGAGTCTCGCTCTGTCACCCAGGCTGGAGTGCAGTGGCGCGATCTTGGCTCACTGCAAGCTCCGCGTCCCGGGTTCACACCATTCTCCTGCCTCAGCCTCTTGAGTAGCTCGTACTACAGGCGCCCGCCACCACGCCTGGCTAATTTTTTGTATTTTTAGTAGAAAAGGGGTTTCACCGTGTTAGCCAGGATGGTTTCCATCTCTTGCCCTTGTGATCCGCCCGCCTTGGCCTCCCAAAGTGCTGGGATTACAGGTGTGAGCCACCGCGCCCAGCCTTTTTTTTTTTTTTTTTTTTTTTTTTTAAGACAGAGTCTCACTCTGTCACCCAGGCTGGAGTGCAGTGGCGTGATCTCGGCTCACTGAAACTTCCACCTCCTAGGTTTAAGCGAGTCTCCTGCTTCAGCCTCCCAAATAGCTGAGATTACAGGCATGTGCCACCACACCCGGCTAATTTTTGTAGTTTTAGTAGAGACGGGTTTCACCATGTTGGCCAGGCTGGTCTCGAACTCCTGACTTCAGGTGATCTGCCCGCCTCGGCCTCTCAAAGTGCGAGGATTACAGGCGTGAGCCACCGCGCCCAGCCTTGCTCATTTCTGAATTTGATTGTTAGGTTTTTGTTATTGAGTGTGTTTTTTTAATTGAGTGTAATATTCATACAGAGAAGCCACCAATCCCCAGAGGGCAGCTTGGTAAATTATCGTAGAGTGAATACGTCTGGGACACCAGCCCTCAGATCAAGAAATAGAATATTACCAGAGCCACCCTCCCCCAGAGCACTAAGATAATCGCTATCCTGACTTCTCACCAGATGTTTCTTTGGCCTGTTTTAGGGCTTCGCAGAAACAGAATCGTGCCGTACGCATTCATTTGTGTCTGGCTGCTTCTGCTCAACAGTATGTTGCTGAGATTCACCAACTGTGCATGGTGGCTGTGAATCCATTTTCAGTGCTGTAAGAATTTTACTCTATAAATATACTGAGAGGTACTTATCCACTCTCCTGTTGGAATTTGGGGCTATTGTGAAGGGTGCTGGTATAAACATCCTAGTGCACGTCGCACGTCATTTGGTGAACACGTGCACAGTGCACAGTTCTTTTGGGTCTATGCGTAAGAGTGGAATGTGGGGATCACATGTGTGGTCTCCTTTAGTAGGTATTACCCAAGGGTTTTCCAAAGTAGTTGTGCTATTTTACATTCCCAATAGTATATGAAGTTTCAGTTACTCCACATTCTTGCCCAAACTTGGTATCAACAGTGTTTTTAATTTTAGCAATTCTGGTAGGTGTAATATTGGTTTCTCACTGTGGTTTAAATTTGATGGCTTATGAGGCTGAGCATGTTTTAAATGCTTTTTGGCCATTTGGATGTTCATTTGCTCTTTCCTCTCCCTTCCCCCCTCCTCCCTCCCCCCTCCCTCCCTTTCTTCCTTCCCTTTTTTGTCCCTCTTCATTTCTTTCACCCATTGTCCTATTGGTCTGCCAGCTTTTTTCTTAATTTTTTAAAAAACTTTATTTAAGTACTGGGATACATGTACAGAACGTGCAGGTTTGTTACACAGGTAAACATGTGCCATGGTGGTTTGCTGCACTTATCCACCCGTCACCTAGGTATTAAGTCCCGCATGCATTTTTCTTATTAACTTACAGGAATTCTCTTTATACTCTACATGTGATTTATCTTTTCACCCTCCTCCATTCCCCACCTCTTTTTTTAAGAGACAGAGTCTCACTCTGTCACCCAGGCTGCAGTGCAGTGGCACAATCATGGCTCACTGCAGCCTCAGCCTCCCAGGCTCAAGTGTTCCTCCTGCCTCAGCCTCCCAAGTATCTGGGACCACAGGCATGCACCACCACGCCCAGCCAATTTTTCATTTTTCGTAGAGACGAGGTCTTGCTAAGCTGCTCAGGCTGTTCTCTAACTCCTGACCTCAAGTGATCCTCCCGCCTTGGCCTCCCAAAGTGCTGGGATACAGCGTGAGCCACCACACCCGGCCCCATCTTTTTACTCTCTTATTGATGAAAAAATTCTTAATTTTACTATCATCCAATGTATCTGTAGGGGTGGGTTGCCCCTACACACCTGTGGGTGTTTCACGTAAGGTGGGACGAGAGATTTGGAAAAGAAAAAGACACAGAGACAAAGTATAGAGAAAGAAATAAGGGGACCCGGGGAACCAGCGTTCAGCATATGGAGGATCCCGCCAGCCTCTGAGTTCCCTTAGCATTTATTCATCATTTGTGGGTGTTTCTCGAAGAGGGGGATGTGTCAGGGTCACAAGACAATTGTGGGGAGAGGGTCAGCAGACAAACACATGAACAAAGGTCTTTGCATCATAGACAATGTAAAGGATTAAGTGCTGTGCTTTTAGATATGCATACACATAAACATCTCAATGCTTTACAAAGCAGTATTGCTGCCCGCAGGTCCCACCTCCAGCCCTAAGGCGGTTTTTCCCTATCTCAGTAGATGGAGCATACAATCGGGTTTTATACCGAGACATTCCATTGCCCAGGGACAGGCAGGAGACAGATGCCTTCCTCTTGTCTCAACTGCAAGAGGCATGCCTTCCTCTTATACTAATCCTCCTCAGCACAGACCCTTTACGGGTGTCGGGCTGGGGGACGGTCAGGTCTTTCCCTTCCCACGAGGCCATATTTCAGACTATCACATGGGGAGAAACCTTGGACAATACCTGGCTTTCCTAGGCAGAGGTCCCTGCGGGCTTCCGCAGTGTTTGTGTCCCTGGGTACTTGAGATTAGGGAGTGGTGATGACTCTTAAGGAGCATGCTGCCTTCAAGCATCTGTTTAACAAAGCACATCTTGCACCGCCCTTAATCCATTTAACTCTGAGTTGACACAGCACACGTTTCAGAGAGCACGGGATTGGGGGTAAGGTTATAGATTAACAGCATCCCAAGGCAGAAGAATTTTTCTTAGTACAGAACAAAATGGAGTCTCCCATGTCTACTTCTTTCTACACAGACACAGTAACAATCTGATCTCTCTTGCTTTTCCCCACATTTATCAATCATTTTCTTTGGGGATAGTGTTTTGTCTTATTGAAGAAATTTTTACCTGCCTCCTAAGGAGCCTTAAAAATCTCCATATGCCCACAAAGCCCCACTGTTCTAACGTCTATTTTGTGCTAGAAAATAAACGAGGCACTGTCCCAGAGGCTATGCCTATCTTGTGGGAAAACTGTCTTCATCATCATTTGCTAAGCTGGGAGATGATCGGGATGAGGACAATCTCCATGGCTCCCGGCATCTGATCCCTTCCTGCATTAGAGAGAGTGGGCCTGATGCCATCGTGGGCCCAGCCCCACCTGCACCCCACGGGGAAAGGGCAAGAGGAATGGAGAAGGTGTGGTGTCCTTGGGCAGAGCCAGCCCAGAGATGTGGTTCTGCAAACAGAATGAGGGTACAGATGAGTCTGCCTGCATCGCCACGGGGCTCCGGGGGCTGCAGGAGGTGGGAGAGAAGCAGGTAGAGGAGGGATCCAGCAGGAAGAAGAGCAGAGCATTCTCCCTGGAAAGGGAGAAAGAAGGACGCACCTTTCATTTAACAGCTCAGTGTTCCAGTGACCGGAGGTGAGGTCGCAGCTGCTGGTCCCACAGAGCCTGTCTCTGGCGTTAGTTGTTTAGATGTCAGAATTGGTGAAAAGTTTGAGATTGTACCAGCTGGTCCGGGAAAGGTGATGGGGGAGCTATAAAGCTTGCGGCAGGGCAGTCAGGGATGACCGGTGCACAGGGGCTCCAGGGCACATGAGCCACACGGTGCTTAGGGCCAGGCCTCCCAGGAGTGACCCAGACCAGCCTTTTCTTTCTCATCCTCTCACTCTCTGAATTCAAAAGCTTGAACATGCCACGAAATGTCCACCCAATAAAAAGAAAGTATTTGCCTACTGGGCTCAGACATGGTATTAAGGAAATTGCAAATCTACTGACTGTGACAGAAAGCAAATCAGTGGCTGCTTGGGATGGGGGGGGGTGGGAGGGGCTGTAGGGAGGGATTCCAAAGAATCATGAGGAAGCTTTGGGAGTCGTGATGCTCCTGGTCATGGTTTTGCGGGTGCGTACGTGTGTTAACATTGATCAAAAAAATTTGTTTTTTTTGAGATGGAGTTTCGCTCTTGTTGCCCAGGCTGGAGTGCAGTGGCACGATCTCGGCTCACTGCAACCTCCACCTCCTGGGTTCAAGTGATTCTCCCGCCTCAGCCTCCAGAGTAGCTGGGATTACAGGTGCCCGCCACCATGCCTGGCTAATTTTTTGTAGTTTTAGTAGAGATGCGGTTTCACTGTGTTGGTCAGGCTGGTCTCGAACTCCTGACCTCAGGTGATTCACCCACCTCGGCCTCCCAAAGTGCTGGGATTACGGCGTGAGCCACCATGCCTGGCTTGTTCTCTTGTATGTCAGTTACCCCTCCATGAGGCTGCTAAACATCTTCCCAGCACACACACGCACAGACACACACCTGCATGCCCTCACGCAGTTTGCAAGGCAGTGGTTCAAGTTACACTTTAATCCCTCAAGCGTGCTCATCTCACTCTCTGAACCTGCCCTCTTGCAGGGTCCATGGTTCTTCCAAGTGTCCTGGTCACAAGGCAGCTGGATCGACACTCAGAGATATAGAGCAGAGCAGAGTGTGGTCCCTGAATCTATCTCGCCCCCACAATCTTTACACACAGAGACCTTCCCAGGAGCTGTGACTTGAACTTCACAATCTGCAGGGTCCACCCATGAGCCGTGTCCTCCTCACAGGCAATTGGATCCCCTCCTCTCTCCACCTGTGTGGGAAGATTGGAAACAAAAAATAGAGAACGTGGGAGGTAAAACACTAAGGGGATGGGCCACAGCTGAGCATCCCCAGGACAGAGGGAAACACTGAGGGGGTGGATGGGCCACACCTGAGCATCCTCAGGACGGAGGGAAACACTGAGGGGGTGGATGGGCCACACCTGAGCATCCTCAGGACCGAGGGAAACACTGAGGGGGTGGATGGGCCACACCTGAGCATCCTCAGGACCGAGGGAAACACTGAGGGGGTGGATGGGCCACACCTGAGCATCCTCAGGACAGAGGGAAACACTGAGGGGGTGGATGGGCCACACCTGAGCATCCTCAGGACAGAGGGAAACACTGAGGGGGTGGATGGGCCACACCTGAGCATCCTCAGGACAGAGGGAAACACTGAGGGGGTGGATGGGCCACACCTGAGCATCCTCAGGACCGAGGGAAACACTGAGGGGGTGGATGGGCCACACCTGAGCATCCTCAGGACCGAGGGAAACACTGAGGGGGTGGATGGGCCACACCTGAGCATCCTCAGGACAGAGGGAAACACTGAGGGGGTGGATGGGCCACACCTGAGCATCCTCAGGACCGAGGGAAACACTGAGGGGGTGGATGGGCCACACCTGAGTGACCTCAGGACCGAGGAAAACACTGAGGGGGTGGATGGGCCACACCTGAAGGCCCCCGGACAGAGTGAAGGACAGCTGTTGTTGGGATGATAATTCCACATCTTTGGAGAACAAGAATTCCAGGTGGTTTTCTTCTCTCCAAACAGCATGGTTATGAACTAGCTCTCACTCCAGGAGGCTTTAAGGCTCCATATAATATCTGTGGTAATAAAGAAAAACAGGCCAGGTGCCACGGCTCACACCTGTAGTACCAGCACTTCGGGAGGCCAAGGTGGAAGGACCACTGAGGCCAGGAGTCTGAGACCAGCCTGGGCAACGTAACAAGAGCCCATCTCTATAAATAATTTCAAAAACGTAAAAAGAAAAGAAAAACAAATAGTGGTAACTGTCACAACTAACATATAGTTACAAACAAAAATTTACACCAAGGTGAAAAAAATCAACTTTTTTTTTTTTTTTTTTTTTTTTACCAAAACGATGCCTCAGTCTAGGAAGAGGTGCTTCCTCTCTGGAAGCAGCTGAACACCTGAGCTGCTGTCCACAGGCGGACGGACTCTCCAGGAGCCCCCAGTGGGCCTCGGCTCCTCCACGTCAGCTCCTCTCTTGTCCCTCTGCTGGTCCACGGGGGCCGCTGCAGCTGGCCAGGTCTCCTGGGAGTCAGAGGGGGCCATGGGTTCCACCCCAGGGCCCACCTCATCAGCACAGTGCTCTCACCATCTGAGCACCAGCCCAGAGGAAAAGGAGAAAGAATGGGTGATGCTGATCCCCCAAGCAAAATGGAAACCCCTCCACCTCCCACCCTCAAAAGCACCCAACAACGGGCCCTGGGCACTGAGGGCCTCACGGGCAGCTGTTTGCATCACAGTGAAATCTACAAAGTTCCCATGGCACGTGAGTGGACGCTTCCTCCACACGGGAATGTCCGGCTGCCCCAAGGAAGGCTGCAATAATGTTGAGATCTTTGAATAGGAGCAAGGGATCAAGGCCGATGGCCTCTCTGAGGGCCTCAGTTTCCATCCATGTGGGCAAGCTCCCCTTTGGGAATCTGGGTTATGGTTCCCGAGATGGGGACAAGAGGCATCCGCTGACGGCTATATTTACAAAAATCCATCAAGTCGACACGCTTGTGAGAGTCAAAGCAGTACAGTAACTCACTGGAAAAGTGAAAAATTCTCACCTTCACACCCACAGAGATAACGGGGGCGGCGTGGGGGCAAGCCGAACGCATGCGTGTGCTCTGTGCACTCACCGCCGCCCTCTCCGCGGCTGTCTGGCTCCTGATTTGCATAGTGAGAGGCAGACACCAGGCTTGAATCAGGAGGGGCAGCGCCTTGTCCCAGTGAGTTTGGGTCTTGAGACAGTGAGTAGCAAGGGTGTAGAAAGGAAGGGATTTATCGACAAAGTTATCTGACTTTGATTCTTGAGCTCAATAGGGAGAGTTTGAATAAAAAGGAACACCGATACTAACACACGTTAAATAGACGAACTGCTTCTAATATTTGATAGGCAATAAATGTCGCATTTGTTTATACTTCCTAAGCAAAGTCAAGTCTCGTTCTCAGTTGCTCATTTTCAGAGAGTGAGAAAGTCCAAGATCTCATGGGCCCCTCCCCTTCCTCGGGTTATGGACACCAGGGCCCTGGGGACTGCAAGCTGGGGAGGTCTCCCGGGAGTCAGAGGGGGACATGGAGGAGAGCGGAGGAGAGAGTGCTGTTCTAGGGTGTCATTAGGTGGCTGTCAGATCCCTGCTCCTACATTCAGTAGGGAGTGACCTTCGGAAAATTATGTAGCCTCCCTAAGTCTCAGTTTTCTCACCTGAAAAATGGAGCTGATGGTAATAATCCTCATCCAGGAGAACAGCATGTGTTGACCATCCTCGTGGCATTCTTTTTAAGAGCTGCACGGCACTCCATTGTATGGGCATTAAATCATTTATTTATTGTGTGCAATCTCGGCTCACTGCAACCTCTGCCTCCCAGGTTCAAGCGATTCTCCAGCCTCAGCCCCCTGAGTAGCTGGGATGACAGGTGACCACCACCATGCCTGGCTAAATTTTGTATTTTTAGTAGAGATGGGGTTTCACCATGTTGGCCAGGCTGGTCTTGAACTCCTGACTTCTGGTGATCTGCCCACCTCAGTCTCCCAAAGTGCTTGGATTACAGGCCTGAGCCACCACTCCCGGCCCATAGACCTAAATATAAAACACATTTGTTGAACACCATGAAACCAGCAGCTTTGCTGTCACCACCAGAGGGACTCACATGATTTGGAGAATTTTCAAATAGGGATATTGATGCAAACAAACAGGAAGGACCAGTAGCTCTGCTCTTCTCCTCAGAGACCAGAACCTGCCCAAACCACCCAGCATCACTGACAGATGACGGTTCCTGAGCTCATGCGAAGAGAAGACACAGCGAGGGGAGATGCCTGTGGAAAGCAGATGGCCTGAGCTGTGTGTGCACGCCCTAGTCCACGGGTAGATCCATCAGCAACAGTGGAAGCCTCACCGACTCAAGGTGTTCGTGTACAAATTCAGACAACTGTTGGCAGAATACCAAGCACGCAGATAAAGGAGCGGTTCCTGGGAAGCCATGCATAAGAAACAAACAAAAAATGAGCAGAGACGGCTCCGGATACACGCTGCTCACAGAATTTACAAATTTAGTACAGGCTGGTTACAAACAAACGAACAAACAGTAACAACTCTCAGCGGAAAAGATTCAGAATCCAGAGTTGAAGAGTCTATAACCTAAAGTATCCAGTGTTCAATGATAAGTTACAAGACAAAAAGAAACAGGCAAGTGTGGGGGAAAACTGTCTTTGTGTCCCCAGATGTCACACTTAGCAAACAAAGACTTCAAAGCAGTTACTTATGTTAAAAGAACTTAAAAAGGGCCAGGCACGGTGGCTCAATCCTGTAATCCCAGCACTTTGGGAGGCCGAGGCGAGCAAATCACCTGAGGTTACAGGTGCATGCCTGTAATCCCAGCTACTTAGGAGACTGAGGCAGGAGAATCGCTTGAACCTGGGAGGCAGAGGTTGCAGTGAGCCGAGATCACGCCATTGCACTCCAGCCTGGGCAACAAGAGCGAAACTCTGTCTCAAACAAAAAAGAAAAAGAAAAATGACTTATGAAACGTCAAGCACAACATATGTAGAATGAGAGTCTCAGAAAGAAAGAAAAGGGGAAAGAAAGAATTATTTATAGAAATAATGGCTGAAAACTTACCAAATTTGATATAAAACATTAATCTATAGAATCAATGTTTACTTTCAGTAAAATAAATACCAATATATCCACTCCTACACACCTTGTGTCAAGCTACGAAAACACAAAGAGCAAATATTGAAAACAGTAAGACAAAAACTTCTCCTCATGTACAAGAGCACCACGATAAAATTAGCCACTGATTTCTGATCAGAAACAATGGTGAGACCATGAACGGCAGCTCACGCCTGTAATCCCAGCACTTTGAGAGGCCAAGGCAGGTGGAATACCTGAGGTCAGGAGTTCGAGACCAGCTTGGCCAACATGGTGAAACCCCATCTCTACTAAAAATACAAAAATTAGACCAGGCGCGGTGGCTCCCGCCTGTAATCCCAGAGCTTTGGGAGGCCGAGGTGGGTAGATCACGAGGTCAGGAGATCAAGACCATCCTGGCTAACACAGTGAAATGCCATCTCTACTAAAAATACAAAAGATTAGCCAGGCGTGGTCGCAGGCGCCTGTAGTCCCACCTACTTGGGAGGCTGAGGCAGGAGAATGGCATGAACCCGGGAGGTGGAGGTTGCAGTGAGCCAAGATCTCGCCACTGCACTCCAGCCTGGGCGACGGAGTGAGACTCCATCTCAAAAAAAGAGAAAAAAAAAGAAAAAATTAGCTAGGCATGTTGGTGCACACCTGTAATCCCAGCTACTTGAAGGCTAAGGCCAGAGAATCGCTTGAACCTGGGAGGCAGAGTTTGCAGTGGGCTGAGATCACACCACTGCACTCCAGCCTGGGCAACAAACAGAGGGAGATTCTGTCTCAAAAAGAAAGAAAGAGAGAGAGAGAGAGAGAAATAGAAAGAAAGAAAGAAAGAAAGAAAGAAAGAAAGAAAGAAAGAGAGAGAGAGAGAGAGAGAGAGAGAGAGAAAGAAAGAAAGAAAGAAAGAAAGAAAGAAAGAAAGAAAGAAAGAAAAAGAATGAATGAATGAATGATGGGAAGGCAATGGGATGGCATAGTCAAAGAATGAAAGAAAAAAAATTGTCAACTAAAAATGCCATGTCCAGCAAATCTATCTTTTAAAAATAAAGATATTCCCAGATAAAGACAGAAAATTTGCTGCCAGCCATCCTACCTCATAAGAAACACTAAAAGAAAGCTTCTGAACTGAAAGAAAGGCTTGATTCTTCTATTTGAAAATACTGAATTGATTTGTCACAGGGTATGTGTGTATATGTGTGTGTGTGTATGTGTGTGTGTGTATGCCAAATATTCCAAAATTTCTCATGCACTTTAACTTTTATTGATTTTAGAAGCAAAAATATTGCAAATATATAAAAATATTCTTTGAAGGTTTAGTTCAATTTTATACTTTTTTAGTCCTATGAATTTTAATAATAAAGAATTGATTTAATTTTTGATTAAGTCTAGCTGAAGACAGTAAAGATTAATTGAAGCAAAAATTATAAAAATTTATTCAAAACTCACAATGATAAACAAGTATAAAAATGTAAGCTCTATGTCTGAGTTGAAGCAAGGCAAGAACATATTGTGTGGGGAGGTTAGAATTGCAGGCAGAGGAGACCCTGGAGCAATAATCCCTGGAAATAACAGGAATTTCGGGGACAAATCCAGATCCTCAAAAACTGTGAAACTGAGGGAGTCTGAGCAGAGTTCTCCAATGAACCAGGTATCATCTGTGTGCCAGGGTGAGAGGACGGAAAACGGGCCAGGTCTGTCTCTGACAGGTTGAGAAGGTGGAGTGGGAAGGAGGGATCCGGAAGGCCAGGAGGGTGGAGGGAACTGCAGGGGTGGGTGGTGGTGGGCGGGGCTGGGCTTTAGCCTCCTCCTCCCACTGCCCACCCCACCCTTAGGAGCCCTTTGTGAGGGGGAGGCCCCAGCTCTGTGATGTGGACCTGGGCCCCAGT